>NC_000020.11:9763304-9914819 GCF_000001405.40 Homo sapiens
GGGTGAGAGGAAACTTTGGGAGGTGATGGATATGCCTACAGCTTTAATGGTGGCAGTGGCTTCACAGGTGTATACTTATCCCCAAATTCACTGAGTTGTACACATTAAATATGTATAGCTTCTTACATGTCAACCATTCTGCAAAAAAGTAGTTTTTAAAAAACCTAACTTATCCTAACTGATACAGACACATATCAAAAATAAACCAATAAGCTGTTAAATGAAAAACAAAACAAAAAAAAACAATCTTGAAGCCCAACTCTCATCTGATGACTAAACCGTGCAGATTAAGCAACAGAATGAAGTTGGTCCCAATAAGACTGATGTTTTAGCAAATATGACAGGAGTGAATTGAGTTGCAAAACTGCAGGAAAAATGGAACAAACAGTATTTTCCCGTTTTTTTTATTTTGAAACATTTCAAACTGAAGAAAAGTTGCAAGAGTGGAAGAATTAATGCCCAGACAACCTTCACCTAGATTCTTCAAAGATTAACATTTTGCCACATTTGCTTTCTCTGTATGTGTGTATATTGTGTTTATACGTACATATAATTACACATATACTTAAACACACATACACATATAAATATATGCGTATCCTTTTTTTCTGAATCACCTGAATGTACCTGCAGGTATGACACTTCACCACTAATCAACACATTTCTCATAAGACAAACCCATTCTCCTGTATAACTATGACATACTAATTGCATTTGGGAAATTTAACATTGATACAATATTATTATCAAATATATAGTCTATAATCAAAATCTCCACCTTAAACCAATAATGTCCTTTATAGTTTCATTTTCCAGGATCTGAACCAGAATCACACACTGCATTTAGTCATCATTCTTGATCTCCTTTCATCAAGGACACTGTGTTGGCTTCCATGACATTGACATTTTAAAAGAGTACAGCTGAGATTTTTCAAGACAGCTCTAAATTAGGATTTGCCTGAGTTTTTTCTTAAGATTATGTTCATAGTTAACAGTTTTGGTAGGCATACTGTGTAGATACCATTAGGTCCCTTTCTCAGTGTATCGTATGGGGCACATGGTTTTAGTTTGCCCCATTATTGGCAATATTAAATTTGATCAATTGGAAGAGGCAATATCTGCCAAATCTCTCCATTTTAATGCTACCTTTTCCCCTTTGTAAGTAATAAATGTGGGTATATCACTTTGAAGCCTATGCAAATATTCTCTTGCTCAGCACCCTTTAGCCCAGTGGTTTTAGCGTCTGTTGATGATTCTTACCTACATCAATTATTACTACGGTGATGGTAAAATAAGCATTATGGCTGAAGGCATTACCTATACTGGAGATTATAGTCCAATATAAAAGCCAATTAACTCATATATAGAAAAGAGTCTTCATTAGGATTGATCTTGTTATTGCTTAAGAAACAGTTTCTTCTATTTTCTGAGATAATGCATTACTGGTGGATAACTTCGAGTACAGTTGTGGTTATTTTTCTAGAGTAACTGGATATATGTTAGGGTGGAAATGCATAGAACTAAATATTTTTAAAGGCCCATTTTAGGATCTTTAAAAAATAACAGATGGTTCTGAGTGGATGGTCTCTGTGGCAGAGACATTTACAGTACATCATATACCCACAGATTTACCAATTGTCCTTGCAGTTGGGAGGGACCCAGTACCTAGCTTTAGGCAATGACCTATGAGTGGAATTGATAAATCACTTTTGCACTGAAGGTATTACAAGCACATGTATAACCCTCACCTGTCTCCTTTGCTCCAGCGGTGACCATGGAGACTGAGTATTGAAATAATGAGCCATAACATGATGCTGTCCGGGTTGCTAAATCATTGCATGAAGAATAGCTGCACTGGAGAGTTTCTTGACCTGTAGTGGAGTTTGCATGAGTGAAAAACAAACTCCTATGGGTGAAATGCTAGAATTTGGGGATTTTTTTTAACCACAGTATAAATCTAGCCTATCCTAATAGTATCTAAAAGCCAGTTTTCATTTTCACCAATAATCTAAAATTTATAATAATCATCTTTGGGTTAGGATAGTAGTTTATTAATTTATTCATAGTAGTAACTCAATAATTGGTGCAAAAATACTGATTGCCTATGGAACAACATTTCCTATCCCTCCCTAGCCTCCATTTTTTTTTTCTGGCAGAGCCAAATTCCAATTATAAAAAGTGAAAATGTTAGCTATTTTCTGTGGCATTCTGGAGCTGGCTAACACTAATTCTATGAGAGCTGTTTTTGCAAGGTGGTTGATATAACACTGGTAGCTTAAAACTGGCCATGATGGGAGTATTCACACCAAGAAACTGCAGATGCTGCAAATCAACCCTCCTCCCATCAAGCCGCCCTCTCCCTGCTTCTCCCTGCCCAACCCTCCTGCTAAGAGCTAGTTGTTGAACATTTAACAGCACATTCTTAGATATTTTCTTTCCCAGGTTCTACTGCAAATAGGAAGGGCATGTGACCTAATGTTGCCCAAGAAGACTTGAGAGGAAATTAGATACAGGACTTCAAAAAGTCAAAAGAAATGTGTATATATGATCACCAAGAGACATGCACTAGAATGCTCACTGCAGCACTACTCATAACCCCAAACTGGTTACTGTTTAAAATGATAACCAAGTAGAATGGGCTGGGCGTGGTGGCTCACGCCTGTAATCCCAGCACTTTGGGAGGCCCAGGCAGGCAGATCACGAGGTCAAGAGATCAAGACCATCCTGGCCAAAATGGTGAAACCCCGTTTCTACTAAAAATACAAAATTTAGCTGGGTGTGGTGGTGCGAGCACGTAGTCCCAGCTACTCGGGAGGCTGGGGCAGAAGAATCACTTGAACCCGGAAGGCAGAGGTTGCAGTGAGCTGAGATTGCGCCACTATACTCCAGCCTGGCGACAGAGCAAGACTCCATCTCAAAAAGGAAAAAAAAAGAAAAAAATATATATATATGTTCTAATTGAATATATATATATTCTAATTGAATATATATATATTCTACTTGAATATATATATATTCTACTTACTTGAATATATATATTCTACTTACTTGAATATATATATATATTCAAGCAGAATATATATGTATATATATATTCAAGCAGAATATATATGTATATATATATTCAAGCAGAATATATATGTATATATATATTCAAGCAGAATATATATGTATATATATATTCAAGCAGAATATATATATATATATATTCAAGCAGAATATATATATATATATATATATATATATTTTCAAGCAGAATGGACAATGGAATACTATGGAGTAATAAAAATAATTTACACACAAAAATGGCTGTGAATCCCACAAACATAATGAGTAAAAGAAGCCAACATGAGACAGTACATAGTGTGAAGTTCCATTTAAAGTTCAAAAGGTTAAAATAGGTGAAACTAATCTAAGATGTTAGAAACTTAAAATCATGCAACTAATTACATTTGGAGAAGGTAGTGATTGAAAAGGGGCATATGGGAGACTTCTTAGGTACTAATGATATTCTGCTTTTTGATTTGAATGCTGGATGCATTCAGTTGTGAAAACATATCAAGCTATATATGCCTAACAATATGTGCACAATTCTTCATTAAAATGTTTTTTTTTTTAAGAGAGAGAAGAGACAAGAGAGAAAAGAGACAAACTTTGTTTTCCTTCCAACATTAGGATATGCTCCCACAAGATGCTGATGCCTGACCATGGCCCCCACGTTCGGCCAAAATACACAGACCTGAGGGTATATATTGACAGACTGCGGGGAGCTGGATTCTTGGCAGCAAGGCTGAACCACTGCACCAATCTTGGGACCCCTTCCAGAATTCATTTTAATAAGGATGATTTTTATCAGGCCACATGCAGTTATGTCATCAAAATTACTCATTTTGATTTTGGATACAGGCAGCCTTTGATATTGCATGGAGGAAAATTTTGAAAGATGAGATCATAAAGGAGAATAATTAACCTATTTAAGTGAATAATGTTCAATCCTGGATCAAATAATCAATGAACTTATCCTCATCATTCTATTTATTAAATCAGGTCCGCTAAGGTCCACTCACCTGTCTGCTTAAATGTCACCTCCTCATTAAAAGCAGAGTTCCTCACCCAGCCACATGGGTTCCTTCTATTGCCTTCCTTTGTTTTAGCACATCTATGTGTCTGAAATTCTATTATTTGTCTATGTTTCTTTTCTAGGACATAGGCTCTGTAAGAGTAGAGACCTTTCCCATTTCATTTAATGTGGCCTCTCTAGTATCTAAAACTGAGCCTAGCAGAGTGGGCAATCCATAAAAGTGCCCATTTCCAGGCAATATTTAAGCTTTCTGTAGAGTACCTCTTGGATAGTTTGGGGTTACCACCTTCTCTGGTTCTTCAGTCACCCCCTTGCCTCCCTCTGCTTCTTGCTGCCACATTCAGCCCATGCAGGTCAGTGGTATTGGGGGTTTGTCCCCTTCTCCTTGTACCTGGGATTCTAGGGGATATTTTTTCAACTAGTTTTGTTCTAAACACTTCCATGATAACAACGACATGGAATCAACCTAGGTGCCCATCAATGGTGGACTGGATAAAGAAAATGTGGTACATCTGCACCAGGGAATACTATGCAACCATAAAAAAAGAATGAAATCATGTCTTTGCAGCAGCATGAATGCAGCTGCAGGCCATTACCCTAAGTGACTTAATGTTTAAAAGATACAGTTAGGGAAGCATAGTCCTTGATCTTTTAAAATCCTCTTATAGAAACAGGGCAATTAGACACCAAAACTGAAAACCTATGGACAACTTTTATTTTTTTAATTTTTGATTACTATGGGCACGTAATAGTAATATAATCTTTAATTCTTTTTTTCTTCCTGTTTAAGTTATACCAGGGTCTTCACTTTTTTTTAATCTAATTTCAACTTTTATTTTAGACACAGGGGTACACGTGCAGGGTTTAGAAAACCAAATCTCACACTTTCTCATAAGTGGGAGCTAAACATCGAGCACACATGGACATAAACATAGGAACGATAGACACTGTAGACTATAGATGGGGGAGGGAGGGAGGAGGCTGTGGGTTGAAAAACCACCTATTGGGTACTATGCCCATACCTGCTGCAATATACTCATGGAACAAACCTGTATATGTACCCCCTGTATCTATAATAAAAGTTGAAATTAGAAAGAATAAATAAAAAGTAAAGGGGCCAGGCGCGGTGGCTCACACCTGTAATCCCAGCACTTTGGGAGGCCAAGGTGGGTGGATCACTTGAGATGAGGAGTTCTCAACCAGCCTGGCCAACATGGCATAACCCTGTCTCTACTAAAAATACAAAAATTATACGGGTATGGTGGCGCGCGGCTGTAGTCCCAGCTACTGGGAAGGCTGAGGCAAGAGAATCGCTTGAATCCAGGCGGCTGAGGTTGCAGTGAACCAAGTTCACACCACTGCACTCCAGCCTGGGCAACAGAGCAACAGAGCGAGACTCCATCGCAAAAAAAAAAAAAAAAAAAAGGGAAAGAAAGAAAAAAAAAAAACCATAAAGAAAACTGGACTCTGGCCTAACTTAAACAAGAAGGGAGGGAAAAAAAGAATGAAAGAATATATGACTATTATGTTCCCATAGTAATTAAAAATTAAAAAATAAAAGCCCATAAGTTTTCAGTTTTGCTATCTAATTGCCCCGTTCATTTCTTTAAAAGGATTTTAAAAGATCAAGGACTATGCCTCCCTAACTGTATCTTTTAAACAATTTCAAAACAATATAATGACAAGCATCCCTTTAACACAGTGAGAACACAGAGTTCTAACTTACTAGGCCGAACTTCTGACTAATCAAAAGTACAGCACAGCAAATCTAGTGCAATTAATATCTGTTAGAGATGTGAAAATACAGACATATGGGGGCATGACTTGGCCCACAGCATAAACAAATTGACATTGAAGCAGGACATATTTCCAGCTGTGTGGAGATGAAGCTGTCTTCTCTCCTAATCAGTATAGCGAATATTATCTGTTAATTCTGCCCATGGATAAAATATGCCATTGATACACAAGGCAGGGGTTCTAATAGTTCCTCTACATCCCTGCCAGTCTGCATAACTACACAGGTGTCTCTGTGACATGCTCTACCCTTTAGCTATCCATGCTAAAAATACTTCTTTGCAAAAATTGCCATAGGGCGATGACTTTGACTTTGATATAATTTATCATGTGGCTATCACTTTCCCCCATCTTTTTTACTTTCAATGATGCTCTGAACTCTTCCCCTCAAAATTGAATCTGACAATTGCAAACTAAAGAGATTTAAAAGAACAAATGGTCTTCCAGCTTCCCTTCAAGCCCGGTTAGACAGACTTAATATACCTTTAGCTCAGCTATGGGCTAGAGAGCACATCTAAGGTAGAGAGCAAATTGAAATGCTCCAACAAAGGTGATGGGATGGAATGGCTTCACCTTTTCTCTAAATATTTGGCTGCTTTTCCTCTTCTTTTAATCAGTGTTAAACCACCAACCAGCCATTCTCCATCTGATATGACCTCTGGCATTGAAATGAAATATTTATAGAGAAAGGAGCTCTTTAAAAACTAAATATGGTACAAAGAAATTAGCTAGTAGAAGAATATAGAACTAGGAGAATGTGTGATGTTATCCTGCAGAAATGTGAGAATAATTCTTTTGAGGAGTTTTTTCTAAAGGGCAGTAGAAAAGTAGGGTGGTAGCTGGAGAGGCCTAGAGTCAAAAGAGTTTCTTTTTTAGATGGGGAAAAAATAGAGCTTATGTGTATGACACAGAAAGGCCAACAGATAATGCAGGAGAGGGGGAAGAGTTGCCAGAGTGATGTCCTTGGGCAGGCGAAAGAGGACGGTCGACTTCCTAAGAGGAGGGCTTGGACTCTGCAGGAAGCACAGGCAGTTCATTCTAAGAAAAAGAAATGTAGGCAGAGAACATGAGCGCAGATGAGTGCAGATGTGCGGTTGACAGTGCGATGATGGGGACATGGGGATGTCTCATTCTGATGGCTTCTATTTTCTTAAAGAAACAAGAAACAAGAAAATCAGCTGAAGGTGAAAATGAGGGAGAAGATAAGGTATAAAATGGTTACCTAAAAGAACAGGAGAGTAAAGGGGCTCCAGAAACATAATCTGACTACTCGGCAGCTCTAAGGACCCATGCGTGGTTTGTAGTCATGGCTGTAAAGTGAAACGAGCCAGCACAATGGTGTGTTTCACTCCATCTGTGTTTAGCTGGGTGAGTGTAGGCAAGATGGGCATGAAGAGTTGAATGTAATCTGGGTTAGACTTTTGCCAAGTGATTACAAAGGAAGGGGAAAGGAGCAATGTGTGCCTAGAAAATGCAAGACAGTAATTAGAGTAATGCAGAGTAAAATGTGAGCTGAAACAGTAGAAAATTGGGACATGAAGAGAGTGAGAGACAACAGAAAGGGGGTAGGATGCATGGACTTCAGGTCACAGTGGGGTTGAAGAATCGTTGGAGTTGAGGCCCTAAAGGAAATATGAGCCCTCAAGAAGTTATCCTCAGTGCCAAGTTGGACATCAAGTTGTCAAGGATAGATAAACAGCAAAGATAGTTACTCTATTGTTCATGGCTGCCATAGGGACAAACAACTCAGATAGAGCTGTCTTAAGGAAAAAACTGTCCAGCAAGAAAGATTAGAAAAGGACAGAGGAGACTCCTGGGTATAAACGTAAGAGAACATGAATATAAGAAAGCAAGATGTCACAACAAGAAAAAACATCCTTGAAACAAGACTTCTTATAGCAGCCATAGCAATGACCAATCTTCATAAAACTTGTGGGAAAGCTCCTATAATTTATCTAGTCAAACCCATTTTACAGACGAGTAACTAAGACCCAAAGAGGTGGGAGGATCTGCTTAAAAGCCACATAGCCCTAACAGAGATAAGATATTTTGACTCACTTTTTGATAGAGAACATTATTGTCTTTATGTAGGCTGAACTATATGAAATTGACCTATTATATGTCAAAAATGGTTGAATCTTGCCAACTTCATGTCATTCAACCTAACATACTCCAGTTTTCTTTCTACTATAGCGGAGTGTCAAGAAAGAGCAGATCTATAATTTAAAAAAATTTTTTTTTTTTTCTGAGATAGGGTCTTGCTCTGTCACCCAGGCTAGAATGCACTGGTGTAATCACTGCTCACTGCAGCCTCAAACTCCTGGGCTCAAGGGACCCTCCCACTCAGCCTCCCAAGGAGCTGGGACTACAGGTGTGTGCCACCACATTCAGTCAATTTTTTAATTTTTTTTTTTTTTTTTTGTAGAAATGGGCGTTTCACTCTTTTGTCCAGGCTGGTCTTGAACTCCTGGCCTCAAGTAATCCTCCTGTATCAGCCTCTCAAAGTGCTGGTATTACAGGCATGAGCCACCACACTTGGCCTAATGAATTCAAATATTTTTAAAATAAACTATTGCCATCAAGGAACAGTGGCTCATGCCTGTAATATCAACACTTTGGGAGTCCGGGGGAGGGCGGATCACTTGAGCAGGAGTTTGAGACCAGCCTGCCCAACATGGCAAAACTCTATCTCCACAAAAAATACAAAAATTAGCCAGGTGTGCTGGTACATGCCCATGGTCCCAGCTACTCAGGAGGCTGAGGTGGGAGGATTACTTGAACCCGAGAGGCCGAAGATACAGTGAACAGAGATCGCACCACTGCATTCCAGCCTGGGTGACATAGTGAGACCCTATCTCAAAACAATAAAAAACAAAAATAAATTATTACCCACTTCTTGTACTCACTTTCTTATTTTATCAAGAAAATGTCTGCAGGCAGCTATGGGAGTTAACAGCAACAAATTTCCGAAAACTAAGGTTAAATTTAACCTCTAGTGAAGAAATGATAAAGAATCCAAAGGTAATGGATGAGAGCAGCCACCTGGAGCTATGACCAAGAGATTAGTGGTGACCCTCAGAACTAAAATAAGATGAGCTGGGGGAGGTATAATTGGATGATTATAAATATAATTCTTACAGATAAGAAAGTGCACTATTAGGAGAAGGATGATCAGCAAGGTGTCTATAAAAAGAAAAAACAGAGTCAAATCCAAGAAAGAGGGTTTTGCAGGAGTCTCTAGACCATCCCTGTGAAGGAATATCCCCGCTAGGGGATGTATGCCATTGGTCAGAGGTCAATGACACCAGCCAGGAAGCTCATGTCACCGGCTCTAAACGCCCCAGTCTCCTTGTGAAGATAATCTGGCTTCCCATTTGGTTATGACCATAAAGAAGCTGCCACTGTCAAAGCACACATAGTTGGAATTTCTGGTGGTTGTATTTCTCATAGAATATTAATAGATCAGCATGATTGCTTTTCATGCATTACTCCCTGTGTTTGGTGGATGTGGTTAATGTGAATTTACATTTGCGAAATAATGAAGTAGATGTTGTCAGTGCCATGCATATCCCCTGGGTCCTCCAGCAGAGACTTTCCTCCTATTTCAAGGCATCCCTATTCTTCTTGGCCCAATAGTCAGGCAGAATGTTCAGGGAAGGCTGGATGTGTCAGGGAGTTAACACTCCAGGAGTGACCCTCAACCAATGAAGGGCACATGTTGGTTGAAAAATATTCCAACTTCCTCACCCCTCCATGGGAAACTGAGGCATTGTCTCTCCTTGAAGGTTTTCAGGAGATCTGCTTTTGAGGAAACTCAAACTAAGAGAGATAAATCCTCATGATGAGAAGTCAAACTTCTCACTCTTCAAAATCAAACCAGGGCTATGATGAATTCAACAGGGTGTAGAAGGCCATCCAAGAAGATCTCTCTGGAAGACAAGCTGGCTTTGCCTAAAGAAGTACAACATGTCCCAAAGCTCATGCAAGTGTACCATCTCCACTTGAATAATCACAGAAAGAGAAGTGGCTTTTGCTTGCATTGGTTCTCTTTAAGTTCTTTTTTTTAATTATCATTATACTTTAAGTTCTAGGGTACATGTGCACAATGTGCAGGTTTGTTACATATGTATACATGTGCCATGTTGATGTGCTGCACCCATTAACTCATCATTTATATTAGGTATATCTCCTAATGCTATCCCTCCCCCTTCCCCCGACCCCACGACAGGCCCTGGTGTGTGATGTTCCCCTTCCTGTGTCCAAGTGTTCTCATTGTTCAATTCTTAGACAGTGCATGAGTTTGGTAAATTTCACTTCTATTTTTCTGGAAGTCACCCTTCTTATAACTAGTTCATAAGTGAAAAAGGAAAGCCCAAAGCCAAGTTACACATTGACTTGATGTGGCTAGGAAGTATATGAGAAAGAGAAGAGAAAGAAAAGAAGATAAAAGCACAGGACAAGTGGGGGCAGAGAGTGGTAAAAAGTCAAGTCCGTAGGCATCAGAGTAGATGTTCGCATAATAGACGGCAGAGCTGGAGCCTTGGCATAACTATGGCTAAGTGCCTTGTATATTTTATTATTTAATTCTCACAACAACACTACAAGGTTGTTACTGTAGTTGTCCCATTTTGCAGGTGAAGAAAACAAGGCTTGAGGTGAGTCTAAGGTAAAGTACTGGTCAGCAGCAGAGTTACGATGTGTGCTCAGGCAGTCTGAGTCCTGAGTTCATGCTTTGCAGTAACTGTTCCCTATTGCTGTTTTCTCATACTGGACAGAGCACTGGACAGTGAGGGAAACTTATGTTTCAAAAGGTTATATTTCAGAACAAGGGCCAGAATGAGGAGGAGATGGGAGATCCACAAAGCAAAGCAGGATATGGGGTCAGACCCGCTTACTATGGTAAATGCTTTCTTACATCGCCATGGTAAGAAAGTGTCAATCTGGGACTACCTAGGGTGCTGAAGACCTGATGCAGTTGAACACTTCATTCAGTGTGACACCTCACTCCATGGGAACACTCCCTACTGAAAGAGCTTGGGGGAAAGGAGGAACAGATACAGTCCCAACACTTCTCTTCTGAAAGTAAAGAATGAAAGCTATGATTGGAGAAAACACGAACATGCACAAAACTGTGATAGAGCAAATTGTGGATACTCGCTCACACCTACCAGAATGCCTAACAGTGAAAACACAGCCATTACCATCCCTGGAGTTGGGGAGCCGCTGGACTTTTCATACATTGCTGATGGGAGTATAAAAATAGAACAACCAATTTTTTAAAGCTTGGCTTTTTCTTATAAAATTAAGCATCAGCTTTATTATCTAGCAATTATATTCTTCAGTATTGATCCCAAAGAAAAAATGTACAGGATTATTCATGGCAGCTTTATTCATGATAGCTAAAAATTGGATATAATCCACATGTTCTTCATCAGATGAATGAATAAACAAACTCTGATATAGTCATACATTGGGATACTACTCAGCAAAGCAAAAAAGAACTACTCACTAGAGGAGCTGACGGACGACCAAGGTGGGCAGATCACGAGGTCAGGAGATCGAGACCATCCTGGCTAACATGGTGAAACCCCGTCTCTACTAACAAATTAAAAAAAAAAGAAAGAAAAATAGCCAGGTGTGATGGTGGGCGCCTGTAGTCCCAGCTACTCGGGAGGTTGAGGCAGGAGAATAGCGTGAACCCAGGAGGCGGAGCTTGCAGTGAGCCAAGATGGCGCCACCGCACTCCAGCCTGGGCGGCAGAGCGAGACTCGGTCAAAAAAACAAACGAACGAACAAACAAAAAACTACTCACATACAACAATGGATCTCAGAGGCATATACTAATAAGCACAGCAGTATGTACTTTCTAGAAGAGGCTATACTAACTAAAGATGACAAAAGTCAGATCAGTGGTTACATTGGGGGTGGTAGCAAATGACTGGAAAGAGACATAAGGATCATTTTAGAGTGATAGAAATGTTCTATCTTGGTTGGGGTGTGGGTTATACATATTTATATATGTGTCATAGGGCTATAAAATTTAGATCTATGCCTTTCACTGAATGTAAATTACACCTGATTTTTTAAGGGGAAAAAAAAGAGCTGCGTCGGTAGACTCACTCATAATGATACCAAGTTTCAGGGCAGCTTGGTAAATTCTTCGCTCAGTTTCTGATTCAACAAAAGCTGTTTAGCAGTACTGTTCATTCCACCCACAGGGTCCCATGGCCTCATTTCCCTCCACAAAATAATTTCCCAAATTCATTCTGTCTGCTGTCATTTTCCACAAGAAAAAATGGTGCAACTACAGATGAGCCTTGTGACTTTCCTTCAAGTACTAAATATTATCACAGTTTTATTTTTTATTTTATTTTTATTTTTGTGGGTACACAGTAGGTATGTTCTACAAAAGACCCTCATTTTCAATTAGCAGCAAAGGGCAAATGTATTAATGCACCTTAACCAAGGTAATTATTACAATCATATGCTTTTTACTAGTAGATCAAAGCACAAAAAGCATAAATCTTGAACAAGTATGTATCTATTTATGGGGTAACATACTTTTCTTTTAGACAGAATAGTGAATCTAAATTGCAGTTGTACCTCTTATGCTAAGGAATCTTCCTTCCAATTGGCCCATTTGTTAATTTCCCCTCCATAGGGACATATTAGAATTCTCTTGGGAAGATCTAATAGAAATTATGCACTAATGAAAAAATTCTTTAAATCTAAGATAAATTGATTTTTCTTCGACATGTAAATAATTGAACATATGATTAATTCATTATGAGAAAGTTAAATAGAAAATTTTGGTATCATGTAGTAAAGAAATAGTGATTCTTGAAAGTTTTGGGGAAAGTGAAAAGATGGAAAAAATCAGAGAAACTAGAATTTGAATGCTTATCTTGTGCTGAATGCTTGAAGAAGTGCTTTATATATGCAATTTCATTAATCCTCATAGCATTCTTGTGAAGCAGGAATATAGCACAGGTGACAGATGAGGAAACTGAGGCTCATAGAAACTAATATGTCCAAAGTTCAGAACTAGTAAAAGGTAGAGTCAGAATTTCATACCAGGTCTAGATAACTCCATAGTCTATATCTTTGCTGCCCAAGAGTAAGAGACATTCATCTATTGACTCATTAAACAGATGTTTATCAAAGTGCCTGCTGTTCTAAGCACTAATGATGTAAGTGTAAGCAGTAACCCATTCCTTGCACTGTGGGAGCTTATATTCTAATGGGGAGTATGGTGGCTTTAAGTTATATCCACAAATTATATGATGCTCCTGTTTTCACTAAGTAGAACTTAATTTCCCTCCTCCTAGGTGTGAACTGGACTTAGTGACTTGTTGGTTACAAACAGAATAAGTCAGAAGTGGTATATCATTTCTAGGAATGGTCTAACACATGTGACTTTCTCTTGGATCACTTGTGATGGGGAAATCAGCAGCCATGTTGTAAGTACACTCAAGCAGCCCTATGGAGAGGCCCATGAAGTGAGGCACTGAGACCTCCTGTCAAGACCCATGTGAATGAGCCTAAAAGCAGACCTCCCACCAACCCCCAAGCCCCAGTTAAATCTTCAGATGAGACCGTAGCCATGATCAATCCTTGACTACAACCTCATAAGAGAACTTGAGCCAGAGACACCCAGCTAAGTTGCTCTTGAATTTCTGATCCATAGAAACTATGGGATAAGAAATGCTTTTGAGGCCAAGAAACATGGTGGTAATTTGCTACATAGCAATTAAATAGATAAATAAAGATATATTCACTATGAGCTAATTATATGAGATGTGCCAGGAAGAAAACAAAGGATTGAAAGAAATGGAAAGGTATTAGTGCAATTTTAGGTATGAGAAGGCATCTCTGAGAATTTAACATTTCACTTGAAGCCAGCTACCGTGTCTCATCCCTGTAGTTCCAGCCACTCAGGAGGCTAGGCTGAGATGGGAGGATTGCTTGAGCTCAGGAGTTCAAGAACATTTCACTCGAGATATAAAGGATGAGAAAAGAGAACTGTGCATTGGATGGCAGCATGGAGGTAGATAGCTGGTTCCTTTGGTAAGACTGGTGATATGGTTTGGCTGTGTCCCCACCCAAATCTCCTCTTGAATTGTACTCCCACAATCCCCACATGTTGTGGGAAGAACCCGGTGGGAGGTAATTGAATCAAGGGGGCAGGTTTTTCCAGTGCTGCTCTATGATAGTGAATAAGTCTCACAAGATCTGATGGTTTAATACAGGGCAGTTCCCCTGGCAGGCAATGCCAGCATGTAAGATGTGACTTTGCTCCTCATTCACTTTCCACCATGATTATGAGGCCTCCCCAGCCATGTGGAACTGTGAGTCAATAAAATCTCTTTCCTTTATAAATTACCCAGTCATGAGTATGTCTCTATTAGAAGCATAAGAAGAGACTTATACAACTACCTATAGCAGGGCGGTAGAAATCAAGGACCAATTAGAGTAAAAGAAAGAATAACTAAAGAGAAATAAGGAAGATCATTATATACATATATTTTTTTGAAATATTAGCTAGAAAGGAGAACAAAACTAGTGGGGAATCTAGCATGGGCTATGCCAGGGTCATCGATGAGGACAGTGGTGCTCCTGCTCTTTTATGCATGTGTGAGGATGGGAAAAATCCCATTAAAAAGGGGAGAATGAACAAGGTGAGGATGTGCAAACAGAGGCACAAATTAGGGATTAGACAAGAATGATATTTCCTGCATCACAAGAAGGGATGGTATAGGCTAAGCACTTGGGTGGGTTTACGTGAAGCTCTATGGGCATGAGAATGAGGAAATGCCTGGCTGGTACTCTTATAAGTAGAATACAGTTCCCTTCACAAATGTGTTCTAGTGTTTAATTATTTAACTATTAGTTAAAATATTAACCAAAAGAACACTACTTGTGTTTATTGTTATTTTTAATTCATTGATTTGGGTCTTGAGTCTTCACAATATCTCCCATGTTCGTGTGTATAACTTCTCCGTGATGAAGAGTAAGTTCTCCAATGCTATATTTTAATATTTTTACATTTAGAGGTTTTTATGTTGTTGTTGTTTTAAGGATAGGATCTCACTCTGTTGCTCAGGCTGGAGTGTAATTGCATGATTACAACTCATTGTAGCCTCAAACCCCTGGGCTCAAGTGATTCTCTCACCTCGGCCTCCCATGTGGCTAGGACTACAGGTGCACATCACCATGCCTGGCTAATTTTTTAATTGTTTGTAGAGACTGGGTCTCATCGTATTACCCACACTGGTCTCAGACTCCTGGCATCAACCAATCCACCTACATTGGCCTCCCAAAGGACTGGGATTACAGGTGTGAGTCACCACGACAGGCCAATACTTTGGGAGATTTTAGATTACATTTAGCTCCTTAACCTAACTTTTATGGTGGTATATAGAATGAGGCAGTGAGTTGTCCCATTTGATAGTTCACCCTCTCCATAGTAATTGGAAATGCTACTGATCCTAAGTTTTCATATAAACATGAGTTGATTCCTGGACTACCAATTCTTTCCAGTGATATGTTGGTCTATTCCTGTGGCTAGACCATACTCTTTTTCTATGCCCTTTTCACCCACAGAAAAGGGTGCTCAGTATACATGCATAGTTTAATAAATAATTATAAAGTGAACTCTCAGGAAACCGCAACGTAAGTTGAGGTAGAGAACATTTTGAGCCCCTCTAAACCCTCAGAATATCCATTCCCATGTAAAACCTCTTGCCCTTCCCTACACGTAATCTTTCTTCTGGCCTTTGGGATAGTTATTTTCTTGTTCCTTTACTTTTCTAGGTATTATGATGATTATTTTTCCTTTACTGATGGAGCTCTCAGATTTAGCGTCTCTTTTTTTCATGAAATGAACAGTGCCTAGTACAGCATCCTCAGGAATAGAGAAAAATATTCAAATGGACAAGATATGGCTTTCTTTTACATTGGCAGCTATCACTGATATTTATCAATATAACTGTTTAGCATTTGACAAAGGAAACCTCTTCTTTTTAGAGTATTAAATATTTATTGACTATGTATCTAAGTGGGTTCCATTACTATCTAAATTCTAAATTTTAGGAACAGAACTGGGTAGGCCTGGGAGAAAGCTGTGCATGGCTCTTCATGAATTTACTGCTGATATAATGGACATTTGTCTAATATATATATATATCTAAAATATAATTAAATTTATAGTTCACTTTTAAAATTATGACAGTACATTCTGAAATCTGGGCTAGACTTTTTCAGTATCGTTCTTTTTTTCACATTTTTCTTGGCTTTTTTTCTGAGGAGTTTTTTTTCAGATACATCCTAGCATCAGATTTGATGCTTCATAAAATTATATTAGCATTTTGGTTGATACTACATTAAATTAACTGATTATAAATTTTCTGTCAGTTTCTAAGAACTTGGCACTAGTTGGGGAGGAAGGGAGATAGAGAGCTCAGTAGCCATCTTTACATAATTCCTTCTAATTATGTTTATACTATATTTAATACTATAGGCAAAATTAATTATAGCCCCTTAGAACTATTATTACAACTCAACTTAAAACACTTAATAGCATTGTTAGTAGAAGATTTTCTACTAAAGGCCCTTGTTTCCAATTAGCAGCAAAGGGCAAATATATTAATGCAACTTAACCAAGATAATTGTTACAATCATATGCTTTTTACTAATAGATCAAAGCACAAAAAGCATAAATCTTGAACAAATTATGTATAATAATGATTTGTACCCCATATCAATTCTAATACACGTATCCTATAGTAAAATGCATGCTTTACCATATTTAAGCTAGGCTCCCAACTCTCAATAACAACATTTCTTTAAAAAATCTCCCATGAAGCTATTGACATCACCAGACACATTTTCTGCATGCTTTGGAGACTAGGGGTCCAAGGACCAAAAATAACTTTTCTAGATTTGTGGTAAGAAGGTAGCTCTAAGTGAGCTTTTATTAGCATGGGGCAAAATTAGATAAAAAATACACAATAAATAACACTTCTAGAACCCTTTTCACCTCTGGTTTATTTCTGTGAAAGACTAAATCAGAGGAAGAAAATGATAGCTAAAATCAGAAATAAATATGACATAATAGGGTGCAATTTGGAAAGTTAGGCCAAAATTTACCAAGGAAAAAATGTCTCATCTTTTGCTTCTTGAGCTTTGATTTTTCAAAGCAAAGTTTATTCATTCTTTTACTAACTCCATTTCTAGTTTGAATCTAAAATCATATTTTCTTAATCAAAAGCAAAATGTTATCCATGTCTTGGAAGATGCTGAGATGTTTATACCATGCACATCATCATCCCAATAAGACTAGGCATATACCATCAATATATCTATTTTTATTTAAAAATGTATACATGTATTATGACTAATCAAGATTTTAAATGTAAGATTTCTATACTCATAGAAATATATATATAAATACATAAAACAATACATCTTAGTTATTTTCCTCCCATACCCATTTTCTCATATAGTACACACCCCCCTTGGAAGCTGCTACTCTAAACCATTCAAACATTGAATAGTAGTTTGCTATGAGTAAATCTTTTCACATGGTATAACCATTTGAATGTTAAGTAGACAGAGATTTAACTTGCTTTGAGTGTGTTCTATATTCATGTCATAAACTTCAAAATTTATAATTATACATAAGTTATTATTTTATCCTCTCATATATCATCAAAACTCTAATGTGCTAGTACCTTTACTTATCTAGGTATTATGATGATTATTTTTCCTTTACTGACAGAGGTCTCAGATTGAATGTCTCTTTATTTCATGAAATAAACAGTGCCTAATACAGCATCCTCAGGAATAGAGAAAAATATTCAAATGGATAATATATGGTTTCTTTTATATTGGCAGCTATCACTGATATTTATCAATACAACTGTATAGCATTTGACAAATGAAGCCTCTTCTTTTTAGAGTATTAAATCTTAATTGACTATACATCTAATGGGTTCCATCACTGCCTCAATTGTAGATTTTAGGAACAGAATTGGGTAGGCCTGAGAGAAAGGTATGCATAATTGTTCATGAATTTACTGCTGATAGGATGGACCATTTGTCTAAAATAAGGTATAAAGAAATGGAGAAATTTTAGGAAAGCTTATGTGGGTCAGGTCTCAATGTGACAGCTCACCCATAGAAGGCCACTGTGAGAAAGGTAAGTTAAAAGGATGTTGTGTTTGCCTGGTCTGGAGCCTGGAGAGGCGAATAAGATAAGAAGATATCACACACCATATTTGTGTAAACTGGGATGCTGTGGTTAACTAGTATTAAGACCAGACATCTTTTCCCACACTGAGACTCTAATATCCAGCAGCCTTCTAGACATCACTTGGAGCACTCGCCTGTCTAACAGACAACTCAAACTCAGCATGCCTAAACCTGAATTCCTGATCTTCCCTCCTGAGCTAACTTCACCCACAGCTGTCTCCATTGAGGGGATGGCAACTTCTTCCTTTTAGTTCTCGTGCCAAGAACCTTGGCACTATCCTTGACCCCTTTCCCCTCTCCCGTACCAACATCCCATGCCTCAGGGAATCCTGTTGGCTCTATCTTCATAAAATATCCAGATTCCAACTGCTTCTCACTTCCTCCACTGTTAACATCTGTCCTGAGCCACCACCCACTCTCTCCTGCATCAATATAAATGTATTGGAACAGGTCTCTTAGTTTCTCCCCTTTCCCCTATATAGTTTGTGCTCAGCGCAGCAGTCCGAATAATTTTTAAGTGAATCAAGTCATTTCAACTTTCTGCTCAGAACTCTGCTTTGCCCCTACATGTCCCTCAGAGTAAAATCTGTCTTTGCAATAACCTTCAGAGCCTTATATGATCTACTCCCCACCTCCCTTTCTCTCTCTGACATTGTCTCTATTACCTCCCCTTGTTCCAGCCACAGTGGCTTCCTGACATGTTCCTTGGGTGCCAGGTGCACTTGTGTTTTGCACTGTCATCTATTCCATCTTCCTGGAACATTCTTCCCCCAGATATCTACATGTTCCCTCCCTCAGCTCTTTCTAGTCTTTCTTGAATCTCATGTCCTTAATAATGATGCCCACCTGGGCCATCCTGTTTATTACTGCAAACCCCTCCCACCACTATACTCCAACCCAGCCCATCCAACGATTCTTACCTGTTCTCATTTATGTAAGAGCTTATTACCTACAAAAATAATACTCTTCACTGGATCCAATAAGCCATCAACTGTGAGTCATGCCAGTATCTTACTACGACATGCTATTGATTGTAAGGTAGATTTTGATGTCAGGGATATTAAAATATAAAAATATGTGTACCTTGGAATCCGTGACATGTGGGTGGCAGGCAGTGTTTATCTGGGAGTATCATTCCTTACCTCCTACACAGGGTTAAAACCGGATGACAGGAGAGGGGTCCCTGGGTGCTCTGACTTCTGACTCCATTCTCCCTTTCATTCATTAAACTCGTCTTTTCTGGGAACTTGCTTTGCATCAGGCATTGTAGATACAGTAATAGAAAAGAAAACAGCTCCTGCTCTTAAAAGGAACTTTCAGTCTAGTAGGAAGTCTGACAAAGAATCAGAAATTGAATTATAATGTGTTAACTGCTGTGATGACTATAGGGTCCCAGAGGAGGCCCCACCCACCACCATCGTCAAACATTTTCAAAGCTAAAGAGAGAGTAGGCATGGTTGTCTGCTTTTTCTTTTCTTTTTTCTCTTTCTTTCTTTTTTTTTTTTCTTTTTTTTTAAGACGGAGTTTCGCTCTTGTTGCCCAGGCTGGAGTGTAATGGCATGATGTCGGCTCACCACAACCTCCATCTCCTAGGTTCAAGCGATTTTCCTGCTTCAGCCTCCCAAGTAGCTAGGATTACAGGCATATGCCATGTGCCACCATAATCGGCTAATTTTGTATTTTTAGTAGAGATGGGGTTTCTCCATCTTGGTCAGGCTGGTCTTGAACTCCCGACCTCCGGTGATGCACCCACCCTAGCCTCCCAAAGTGCTGGGATTACAGGAGTGAGCCACCGCACCCAGCCAAGTTTGTCTACTTTTTCTTATTTCCAAACTGTGAAAATGGAAAACATCAGAGTACTGACATAAGAGGCACCAAATAATGTATCCAACTAAAGTATTGCTGCGTATCTATCTATTTATCAATCAATCAAGAGAATCATTTAAGGTCCAGATAGCTGCTTGCCTCCTACCTGAAGTATGAATTTGAACACCAGATTCTTTTTTTCCATTTCTGCCTCTAAGCACCGTGTGATATTCTGAATTTCTGTTTCATCATTCTAACCAAGGAGGCAGGGAACTCTAAGAACTTCTCTATCTCAACATCTTCGATTCTATTTTTGCTTAAATAAATCTCAAGAAGGTTACCTTCACCCTCAGGAAAGGTGTCTGTTTTGTTTCTCCGAGGAAGATATGTTACGGAACATTGTGTTCAAATAATGTCTAGTGATATTTATTACACAGGCTAAAAGTATGTGATACTTTAAGTCTAAATTGTTTAATTCTATGATCCCATTTATAATTTGCAATACAATGTTGTAACTCTCAGTAAGTTAAGAAAGAAGAGTTAGAAACAGTGGTTGTCTCATTTAACATGATGTTCTCAAAGATTCTGAAGGCCAAAACAGCTCTTACCTCCCCATTTAATAGATTTAACCACGCTAAAAATCTTCCATCTGTAAAAATTATTTTAACTAACCCAATTTTTGTATTCATGCCATTCAATACATTAATCAAATTGTTTAAAACAGAATCTTGGCAAGAAATAAGGTACATCAATTAACTACAATTCTACCATGAGACTGTAATTTAAGTCTCATGAAATGTTAAAAAAAATAAAATTAAGTAGCAGATGCCAGTGTCCTCTGAATAATCTACAATGATATAACCAAATAATGGGAATCTCAGAATAGATAAAATAGGTTTTTACTGGCTTAAACTTTAATTAAAAGGACTATTCTTGATGCTCTGTTTGTACTTCTACAATATTATGAGGGAACTTGTTCAGCTTCCACTGCTAAGATACAGGATTGCCACTGCTGAGATATAGGATTGGGAATGACAGTAGCTTCAAAGATAAGAGGAAGATGTCAAATGAATTCCATTTTGAATATATATATTTGAATAAATTCAGCTTAAGATATTACCCAGATAGAAGCATCCAGCGAAAGTTGGAAATACAGCTTTGATGCTCAGGGAAGAGGTTGGAACTGCAGACACAGATTTGGTGATAAACATTTCAGAGGCCCCAGTAAGAGCCATGGGGCTGGATATGATTATACTGGGAGACAGAAACCTGAAGATAAAAGCAGAGAAAAATCTTCTTTGTAAATAGTATTTGTGGATTGAGGACAAGAAGCCAAGATAGAAATGTTTTGAATATACAAGTAAAATGTAGGGTTCAGTTGGAGAAGCCAAGTCCTATATCAGGTGGGAATGTATGAGATCCAAGCCTCAAATTTTGCAGGAGGTTTGATAGTATTAATATAGGAACCTCATTGCAGGAGGAAGGGAAGACATCAGACATAGATGGATCGTATTCTCTGTGAAGTGAAAGGCAGGATCACATGCAAAAAACAAGAGAAGAAGTAAAAAAAGAAAAAAAAAACAACACATGTAGCCACACTGTTGCTTTGAATTTCGCAGTCTGCCTTACCTAAGCTCTTACTCTTTGCAGGCAAATAAAGAAATAGGTGGATAAAGTGTGTATCAAATTGAACAAAATGGCAGTTTAGTCTCAAAGGAAGACATTTCCTTTATTTTAATATAGTACCTCCTTTCCAATAATTTCAGTAAGCCGTCATATTATACTAGATTCAATTCAATTTTCAGTGTATCTTTTGGCTTTTAAAAGCCAAGATACAAGTTTTAACTTGTATCAAGTTAAAACTTTAATCAAATATCATAACCCCTGGCTATTTTTCTGGTCTATAGCCTATGCTCATCGTAAGAATTCTTGACATTAATACATTATTTTAGGTAAGGATGTAGAATATTTATTCCATAGTTATCATGCAGATGGAAGTCATTTTTCTCCCCAAAGGTGGCAAATTAGTATTGACTACATTTTATTATACACATTATCACTTGCCTTAGTATACTCATTTATGACGTGTATGATTACAACAACAAAATGCAAACAGAAACAAAAGGTTTGGTGATAAGGGACATTGAGCACAGAATTTTAATGTTATATTTCAAAATGGCTATGATGAAATGTGCTAGCTCAACTGAAAGAATCACAGCACATCTGTTTTGCCAACTTTTCAAGTTAACAAATTCTTTTCCACTCTTTGTATTTCCCTCTGAGCGTATCTCCTTGGAAAATTATCAAGTCTCCAAGTGAAGATAAAGTGGTATCTCTAGATATGGAAATGTTGCAAAGGTTTCATTTTACAGAGAATTGCTCAAAGATGAGGATGACATAAGATTACCATCTTAGAGGGGAAAAAAATGTCTAAGGCATAGGAGAGGAAAGTATTTGTATTTGTGAAGACCTTCTGCTAGTAACTTTGAAAAAGTTGGCAACCAACAAAACTTTGATTAATTTCATCATGTGTTGTCCCTTGCAAGAATATGTCCAGTATGTCAAAACAAACAAATAATTGTTAAAGTGGCATGTCTGTAGATGATGTCAAAATTCCCAAAGGGCAATTTTTTGGGCAGCCTCAAGGTCAGAAAAGTAGTGTCCTAGAATAGACTGACCCACATATCCTTGACCCTCCCCACCTGCCTATCAGTCAGACACCCAACCAATCAGAGGCACTGCTCTAGGGGGCTTCACGCTTCCCATCTGTCCATCTTCCATTCTTAGTACATAAGCCTTTGTCCTGATGCTTGTCATGTCATGGTTGAAAGACGGCTGACCTGCTTCCGGGAATCACAGCCTGATTCCAGCAGGATGAAGACAGCAAAAAGCAAAAGATGAAATAATTAAGGGGTATATTCATTGAGTGTCCCTTTTTAAGAGGCTTTTCCAGAAGCACATTCAACAACTTCACATTCCCATGCCCAGCTGGAAGGGAGGCTGGGAAGTTGAGTATTTGAGCTTTCAAGGAAGAAGTAGGCTGTGAATGATTTTAGGGTACCCAGTTCACAGTATCTTCCATACTGGCCCCCAGGAAGTGCTCAACAAACATTTACATGTCGTGGATGATTTGTGTCCTGGCTGTGACACACACATGCCATGTTCATTCTAACACTGGCCTCATCTCATCTTGTACCTTGCTTCCTTGATCCAGGAGAGCAAACACTTTCCCCTTTCTCAAAGCCCTACTCACTCTTTTAAGAAAAAATTTATTAAAAATGCAGTATAGCACATGTACAGAAAAGTTCATAAAACCTAAGTGTACAGCCTGATCAATTTTGATAAAGTGAACACATCATTTAAGAAGAAACTGAAAGTTATCAAAGCCACAGAAGCTCATGATTTTATGTCATACCGTTATTTAAATATACTCTAAGATACACCTATATAATTGATATGTGGATAAGAGGACATGGTAATCTGTTTTATGGATAAGTGAAGACTGTTAAAATCGAACTCTTGGGTTTTCAAAATACAGAATGTGTTTCAATACTTTTTTAGTCTTGTATAATCCATCAGACTGGACATTTGAAAAATGTCACAAAAGTTTCCTGTTGAGATTCTATCATGCCATCAGTAATATAGCTAAAGGCAAGTCCTATTAATCCCAGATGAATTTAAACTGCATTGCACTGTGGATTTTAAATAGATTTAAAATAGGCTAATAGGTACTTGCAAGGGATAAATTTAAGTATTTCTGAATCACTCCTCATGCAGCTGCTGAAGATGGCAAGAAAAAATTATTCTTCCTTAAAATTATATTTAAGCACTAGTAAGGCAACAGTGATGGTTTAGCTTTAGTAACAATAATTTAACTAAAGCACAGTAAATTCACATATACTCTTACCATGAGCATGAAGTGAAACATTCTGCAGATAAGAGAAATAAAGCATAGAGGGGTCAAGTTACTTGCCTGGTTTCATAAAGGTAGTTAGTGATCATGCCCTACTTGTCTCACTTCTTCCTATTGTCCCTCTCCCTCTTTCTATTCCAGCTCCAGTAGTACCCTTACTATCCTCAGAAGCAGCAAAACAATCCCACCTCCAGGTCTTTGCACTGGTGGCACCCTGTGCCTGGAGTGCTTGTCTAGATTTCCACATGGTTCTCTTGCTCTCACTTCTAGCAAACCTCTGCTTTTAAATTATATCCCAATACAGCTTCAGTCATCCTTAAGCATTCCCTGGGCTTCTTATTTTATATTTTTAGAGTAGGAGAGCTAAAGCATGGGAGTGGTCTCTTGGGTAAGTTAAACTCTCTAAGCCTCAGTTTTTCATCTATAAAATAGAAAAACTGACGCTTACTCTGCATGGCTATGAAAAGGATGTGTGTGTGTGTGTGTGTGTGTGTGTGTGTGTGTGTATGTGTATACATTTACAGTGGTGTGCTGGTAAATGTTTAACTACTGGCTTTCCAAAAAAAAATTCTTGATACTGCTAAGTGCAGATTTGGGAATAGATATGCAGTAGACACCATGGTACAGTGTTTCCCTCATACAGGTGCAATAGATATAAATAACCACACAATCACAGATAATAGTAAAATGCAGTAAAATAATGAGGAAGTGGTGACTTTTGAGTGTTTATTTCTTTGTTTTATAACAAAACTTATTTAATTGTATGTTTACATAATTTAATTTTAATAATAGCTAAAAATTAGCTGTCTCCAGCCCATGTGTCTGTGTGTGTTGGGGGGGGTATGTGTGAGTACCCATATACAATTGAATAAACAAAAGCTAGTGCTGTTGATAGGGGGAAAAAGCCACAATATTTTCTTTGTTTTCTCTAAACAGAAACAAATTAAAGAAAGCATTGACTTTGTTCAATGTGATTTTATACCAATGATGGTCATAGATGACTATAGTAACAGCTTCAATGTAATGTGCAGAAAATCCTAGACACATTAAACTAAGAAATACACAGACATCTCAACCAGGGAAGCACAGCAAATGTATCTCCAGTAACAAGGCAAGAACCTATCATTGATGAGTGTTTGGTCACACTAGATGCCTGGTCTCTTTATTGATACCTCATTCTGACAGGTTTCCAAAGACTTGTCAGGGCACATACTCAAGTCATTACAGATCCAGATAAGCTTTAAATTGAGGTCAGGATGAAATCCATCCCCGTTACCACCCAGATTCTAAACAGCTAACCCTCTTCAACTGTATTAAATTCCAAAGAGGGAATATGATGAAAAGAGGAGAGAAGCCCTACAGTGTTAGAACTGGAAGGTAAAATCTCTTCTATAAAAGGTATTGTTTGGCAGATGAAGAGCAGAGATACACCTGGTTATCACCTTGCAAAAAACAGCATCACATACAGTGCCTTGTCTTTTTGTATTTTCTGGTCATATCCAAGCCACTGTTGTACTTTCATGTTTGTTTAAACTGGATATGTGGACACAATTTTATCTATAACTCTATTGGTCACAGAAAGACCCTCTTCCTATTCTTCTTGTCTTGGATAACAAAGGGGTTCCAAGATTCAGCTTAATCCTAGAGTTTTACCCCCACCTCCAAGAAGCAGAGAGACTAGTATTTAAACCCAGGGGGGTAAAACTTACCTTGAGCCAAGCAGCTGGGAACACAGACATGTTGGTGAATTTCAGGTCTTAGAGCTTTCAACAACCATCAAACACACTAAGGCTATGCAGGTGAATAAAGACCAGTCACTATCCACAAAGATGTCTGGGTTTACTTGCAAAGATACAACTATTGGAATATGGGAGTCCCTCCCTCCACTGGAAGGTGTGAAGAGGGTTCCTAGCTGAGCTCTATGGGAAGTTCTCAGTATGCCATTTGGGGTAAATCAATCCTTTGTAGAAGTTTGTACTGGCTGCCAGAAAGGCAAGCCCTTGGTGACTCAAGTACATCTGAACATTTCTGTAAGATCTCTAATTGGTGGGTTTTCTTTCTTCTTTAAAAAATACTGTATGTAGCAGAAGTTATGTCTTATTCACAACTCTTGGCTTAAGCAGGTGTCATTCTTGTTTCATCTTACTTCCAAATCTGAATTTTTCTTGGGGACAGATGGCTATCAAACTGCTCTCCCTTTCAGAACACACACCAGATGCCCTCGCAATTCAAAGTGAAAAACTAGGCTCGGCTCTTCAAGGTGTCAGCATTTATACTTTAACTTTAAAAACTCACTTAAACTCTCAATTATTTCAATGAAAAAAAAAGTTTCCATTAAGCCATTCTTTTCTAATTTTTCTAAAAACATTGCTTGTATACAGTGTTTACTTTTTCCATTATTAAGAGTCAGTATTAGAGGCGACCTCAAGAGCACTACAAGCTAGACCTATTTCAGACCAGGAAGGGTCCACAACACTTAATGGACATTGCTGGTTCCAGACCTGGATCCTTTTCCCTGGTTCCACATATGATGGTCTGGGGAAGATGGGAAAGACCAGGAGTTTGGGGGCAGACAAACTGTCTCCTGAATTTCTTGCTGACATTCTAGGAGAAGCTGAAATAAAGCATCCCTTCTCCCTTAACCTCCAGTGATGGTTACAAAGTCACTCTTGATCACCATATGGGTTGGCATCAGTCAAAAATTGCCCCAGGAATGATACCAACAAAATGAAGTGGCTCATTTTCCCCTAATTCTAACCACAGGGGATTGCAAAAAGATGCTGATGCAGGTCAGGAAAGGAGGGGCCTTTTTACGCCCAAGCTGCAAGTAAATGAATGAGCAAATGCTTGAAGACATTGAGGAGGGAGCTGGCAGAATTTAGTTTAAGGAGCTTCATTCTCCAGCATCATCTACCCCATTTCCCAAACAGCTTTTCCATGACAGCCCAAAGAGCCTGCTTTATGCAGAGGCAAAGGAAGCTGTACCCCTAAAACTTCCTCTACGGGTCCTGCTATTGTGTTTGAAGTTCCTGCAATCTACTGCTTTATCTCAAGACTTTCAGAATCAAGGTTACAATACAAACCTTATTGGTGCTGAAGACACACTATGCCATAATTAAGGTATAGCATCTTATGTAAACAAATTAATCAGATTTGTTTGCTTGTCAGAGAGCAAACAGTATAAAGGGGCCCCAGAAAAGTTAAATTTTGAGATAACACATGAAAAGAGGAAAAGAGGGGAGAGGGAAAACCATTCCAAGGCCCAGGGGAATGCGAGGATAGAAAGTTTGGGCTGGGGACATTACACAAAGGTAGAATGATCTCTTAAAAAAAGCCAACTTATAAAGAGTTGAATTTGATTTTTATTATTTTAGAGACAGGGTCTAACTCTGTTGACCAGGCTGTAGTACAGTGGCATGGTCATAGCTCACTGCAGCATCCAACTCCTGGGCTCAAGTGATCCTCCCACCTCACCCTCCTTAGTAGCTGGGACTACAGGTGTACAACACAACACCTAATTTTTTATTTTTTGTAGACAGGGTATCTTCAGGTTTCCTAGGTTGGTATCAAACTTCTGGCCTCAAGTGATCTTCCCATCTCGGCCTCCCAAAGTGCTGGGATGGCAGGTGTGAGCCACTGCACCCAGTTGAATTTGGTTATTTTATACTTTGATCTTGAATAAAAAGTGATGAAAGGGGAAAGGTACTAGGCATTTGTGGAGATATCTCACTCTGTACCATACACTCTTGTAATGAGATCTGGTCCTCATCTTCCGTGGCCTCTCCACATCACGGGGAATGGGTGTTGGGAATGGGTTACATTCCTTGGCTTCCATGACCTTCCTTCTCCTGTTTCTGCTCCTACTTCATAGACATCAGCTTTCAGTCCCTGTTTCATTTGCCTTCTCCTTACATGGCAGTAAAGTCCAATATTCAGCGTCATTTCTCTCACCTTTCTCTTCTCATTGTGTAGCATATTCATTCACCACCTTTAGTCACAACTCACATGTAGACGACTTAGAAATGTTAAGTTTTAGGCTAGATATCACCTTTAAGCCCTGGGCATACACTCCAAAATCCCTGCTTCCTGGAAAGACCTAGCAGGGTGTCTTTGGGCACCTCACAGTCCACATGTCTGTCTACAATTGAACTCCTTGTCTGTCCTCACAAATATGTTCCACCTTCTCTTCCATTTGAAGTTGTAGGAAAAGACCCACCACTCACCCAGTCACCCAAAGCAGGACCTTGGGCACAACTTTGATTCCTGCCTTTCTGACAAGTGCCAACAGGGCAGGTGTGTGCCGTGTGCCACATCCACCCCTCACCCGACAATGTCTTTACTGCTTGACCTATATAAGACTTCCAAGTGCTGGCCCCTTCATCTCTCTGATGACTTTTCTCTGACCACTGAGTCCTTCTTTTCCCACCTGTGCATCAGGCTGGATTTGGACCTGACTCTCAATGAGAGCAGTAAATAATTCAGGCACTGGTGATTCACCAATCCTTTTAGAAAATATAGCTCAAACCAAACTGCTCTATTATAATTACTTTGCATAAATCTGCTTTATAGCTAAGGCCAATGGGCTGGTGATAAAGCAAAGAAGGACTCCTTTAAAAAGGCATCCGGTGGGTGACCCATGAGCCTCATAGAGGCAACAGTCCCAGGGACACCTCCCTGTTGATTGGGTCACACCTCCAGGGCTTCATTCAAACTGCTGACTCCAGCTGAAATGGCTTCCTCCCAAGTCTTTGCAAGACTTTGTCTTTGAGAACTAAATCCATGTGAAACCTCATTTATGGAATTTCTTCTGCCTGTACCTCCTTCACAGATAGAACACCCTCTTCCCTCCTGATCTGAGAATTTCTGCCATATCATTGTTCTTATTTATTGCCTGCCTTTCTCCCCTACCAGACTGTAAGCACCTTGAGGGGTGACTCAATGACTATTTTGATCCCCCCTGCATGCAGTGCATGCTATACTTTTTTATTAGGCAGATAAATAAATAAATGAGCTAACAATGTAAGAAAATGTTTTTAACATCTTCACATTAGCAGGGGAAATCAATGAAGATGTGTTGAATATTTAAAGGATCATTCCAAGTAACCATCTCTCACTAAAGAAAAACAGAAGCAGAAAGTCATACAATCTAAGATACCATGTCTAAGGGTTGCGGGAGAAGTTTGGTAATCATGGTGAGCAAATCTCTGGCCCTGGCCTCTAGATTAAAAACACATTTTATGTCAAGAAGTCATAATCGTTCTACAACAGAGCCAAGAGCCAAGTGCTTTTCAGAAGTGCTGTTTGCAGGAATTATACTCCCCAGTCCATGACAGTATCAGGAGTTATTTTCACATGAGGAAATATCCAAAAATTGCCAGGAACTTTTTAAGTGGGACAGTAACTTATGGCAGACACATCTCTGAACACATCTACAATTTAATTTTCAAGAAACTTAAGTGGAGACAATCCTTTTGAGAATATCTAACAACAGACTCCAAAGAAAGAAGCTCAAAGAAAAATATTTGAATAGAAAGCTGGAGAATATATTACCATTTCAGAGATGACTGATATTCCATTTATATTTTACTACATGTTATGGTAGTATTCTCCAGCAGCAGAAAGCAAGACTGAGAGATTCCTAGGTTACAGGAGATATATTTAACCTCGGATCAAGTGGAAGTTGGCACCTGGAATCCTTCTAGGAATGAAGCAAGGATATGACTCAATCAATCAAACGTTCTGGCAGAAAGCGAACAGGCAGGCAGACAGGCAGGCAACTGAGATGATGCTCGTTTAGAGAAAAGGGACTAAGTCAAGTTCGCTCTACTGCCTCAGCAGAATACTTTGAAAACTTAGGTGGGAAAGGTTTTTTTCTAATAACTGATAGCGACTCATCAATTGCACAGCCTAACCAGGATGCCATTTTTTTCCCATGTGGGCAGAAGAGTTTATGTATCACATCAATACACTGGTCACTCCCTCTACCTCTCAGTTCTTTCTTTGGAGCTGACTTTATCCATTTATTCACCCATCATTTAAGCATCCACGCTGCAAAAGATACTGTGCTAACTTCCTGGAGATATGAACTATATTATTGACTTTATGAATCTCACTGTTTCATAGCAGAAGTATAAAACAAATTGGTAAACACATACATGTTTTAAAAAGATAAAATTTTGTAAATAGTATCAATGTATGCTGTTACAAAGTAGCCTACTGGGCAGACTACCTATACCAATAGGTTACCTATAGGTTGGTCAGTTAAGGTGGAAAGAGAGCTGACTCAGAGTGTTCTAGAATTGTGAAACAAGTTCCAGAGGGAGAAAAAGACAAGAATTCATATCCTTTGCCCACTTTTTGATGGGGTTGTTTGAACAGACCTGTCTCAAAAGAAAACATTTATGTGGCCAATAAACATATGAAAAAAAAACTCATCATCACTGATCATTAGATAAATGCAAATCAAAATCATAATAAGATGCCATCTCATGCCAGTCAGAATGATGATTATTAAAAAGTCAGGAAACAATAGATGTTGGTGAGGTTATGGAGAAATAGGAACACTTTTACACTGTTGATGAGTGTAAATTAGTCCAACCATTGTGGAAGACAGTGTGGCAATTCCTCAAAGATCTAGAACCGGAAATACCATTTGACCCAGAAATCCCATTACTGAGTATATACCCAAAGGATTATAAATCATTTTACTATAAAGACACATGCACACATATGTTTACTGCAGCACTATTTACAATAGCAAAGACTTGGAACCAATCCAGATGCCCATCAAAGATAGACTGGATAAAGAAAATGTGGCACATATACACCATGGAATACTATGCAGCCATAAAAATGAATAAGATCATGTCCTTTGCAGGGACATGGATGAAGCTGGAAGCCATCATTCTCAGCGAACTAACACAGGAACAGAAGAGCAAACACCGCATGTTCTCATTCATAAGTGGGAGTTGAACAATGAGAACACATGGACATAGGGAGGGGAACAACACACACTGGGTCATGTTGGGGGGTGGGGGCAAGGGGAGGGAGAGCATTAGAACAGATACCTAATGCATGTGGGGCTTAAAACCTAGATGACAGGTTGATAGGTACAGCAAACCACTATGGCACATATATACCTATGTAACAAACCTGCACATTCTGCACATGTAGCTCAGAACTTAAAGAAAAATTTAAAAAATTTAAAACAAGCAAAAAAGGCAAGAATTGATGGAGGAGCTGGAAAGTGGATATAAATCATTGAATCTCTCTGCATAAGCAATAAAGACTAATAGGACAAGGCTAAAGAATAGAGAGAAAATGTGGGTTAGCAGACTGGTGGTCTTGATGAAGGAGAAATGCTGCTTATAGGAGAAAATAAGCAGATGAGTTAGAACATTTAGTTAGAGAGCAAGACATATGCACTGTGATGTTGGACATGGTGGTACTTCTGGTTACAATAGCATCCAACATGTGACCTTGGGAGGGTCTAAAAAGGTCACTGGAAATGAGAACATCAAGGAATTAAGAAACCAGAGGAAAAAACATAGGCACATTGAGTTTCCCTGTTTTTGGAAAGTTGGTCATAAAGATATTTGCAGAAAGTCAGCATTTTATCTTTTTTTTAAGGCAACAGTTCTCAAATCTGATATTATCTTTCTTTGTTCCTCCAAGTATCATACATTCGACGAAAGAAAAACCATATCTTCAGTATATGAGATCCCCTGGATGGCTTTTCTTCTCACTCTCATTCCCTTTCCTACAGCACATTTTAATTTTTTTTTCTCATGAAGCTATGACAGTCTGTATCCCCTAGGCCTCCTCTCAACACACACTGCTTACAACTCAGCTTCCACCACCCGGAGAGTTTTGCCCTTCTGGATCCAATACATGGTTTCCATAAATACCCTCAGGCATATGTTACAAATATTAACTCATTAACAAGAACCTTGAATCTCTCCTAGGTACTCATTTTCCAAGAGGAACACATTAGTAGGCCATGTTGAAGAAATCAGTCTATAGGCAAAGAAAAGAAAGATTGAGTATCCTGTTTCCTACTGGAAACAACTACCTATTTATAAACTTTCTAAGCTATATGTGCTACACATATTTTAATAATTGCATCTATACAAAAGGCACTTATACAATTATTTTTCCATTAAATTGAAAAGTATTCACCTGTCCAAGTAAATTGTTCTAAAATGATTGAGCATTTTTCCATGTAAATATTTAAATGTCTTTAAAAATAACTTTTGTAATTTCAAAGTTATGTTTACCATCAAAAATTTGAAAATGAGAAGGTGCAATGAAATCCAACCATAATCTCACCACTGCCAGAAACAAACCCTCATAAAATTATCTTTTGTTGACACCCAATTATATACAATAAATGGATCTCACTATATGTGCAGCTTCTAGCAGTACATGGTATATAGTAGATGTTGAATAAAATTTGTGGAGTGAATGAACATACGTAATGTTTTGTATTACACTTTAAATCTTCTTCATGCTTTTGAAGGAGGATGTTATAAAAGGAATACATGGAACTTATAAAAATTTAAAAATCCAATAGTTCAGAAAGAGTAAAATAAAATAAATTCTTGTCACTCTGTATTGCCATTACCTGGAAAAAGTCCCAGTAGAAATCCTGGAAACTCACAGAGGGAGAGAGGAAGAGAGAGAAAGAAACATGCAGATATAAATATGGAAATATACTTAAGAAAAATGGTATTATTCTATATGAGGTTTAGCAATTTGCTTTTTTCCACTTAATATTTATTAAATATATGTCCATATCAGCATATATAAATTTACTTTTTTCTTTACAATGGATCGTCCTATAACTTAATCATTAAATTGATGGACCTTTACACTATAGCCTGATTTTACACTGTTAACAGGAATGCTCTAATAAATATTATTCAGTCCCCCAACAAATACCATTTGCCATACAATGAGCCAGACTGGGAATTTAGACATTAACAAAACAGCTAAGATCTCTAACCTCAGACAGTTAATGAACTCTTAGATCTACTAGAAGAGACAGATAAGCAAAAAAGCAAAAATGAACATATCATTTCAATAATAATTTGCAATATGAGGGAGAAGAACAGAGGGAACAACAGAAGAGGCTTCTATTGGATGGGTAGGAAGGTCCCTCTGAGGATGTAACTGATAATTTGGGAACTAAAAGATGAAAAAAAGCCAGGCTGCAAAGAGATGGGAGGCATCAAAGCAAAGGGAACAACAGACACAAATGGCCCCAAGAGAGACTTTGCTTCCAGGAAATTGGAAGACATGGGACATGGCTATTGTATATAGCATGTAGCCCAAGGCTAGGCTGGAGAGGTGGAAGATTAATAGATCTTGTAAGATGCTAAATGAAAAGTTTAAATTTTATTCCAAATGTAGTAGGAAATTACTAAGTGAAGGTGACCATCAGATTTGCATTTTTGAACGATCACTCTTACTGCTGCAGGAAAAAAGGATTGAAGAAAGGCCAGCAAGGAAAGTTGTTGGGGTTATCACAGGAAACAGGCAAGTGACAGTGGTGGGGCTTGGTCTAGAGTTGGGGCAGTGGAAATGGAAATGTGTGGAAGATCAAAGACTACAGTCAAAATTTGGTGATAGATTCGATATAGCAGATGAGATGGGGAATTGTCAAATGACTCCTTCCAGACTGTTAGCAACTAGGTAGCACCTTTTTCTAAAATCAGAGAAGGAGCATGATTTATATTCCTTTGGGCATATACCCAGTAATGGGATGGCTGGGTCAAATGGTATTTCTAGTTCTAGATCCCTGAGGAATCGCCACACTGTCTTCCACAATGGTTGAACTAGTTTACAGTCCCACCAACAGTGTAAAAGTGTTCCTATTTCTCCACATCTTCTCCAGCACCTGTTGTTTCCTGACTTTTTAATGATCACCATTCTAACTGGTGTGAGATGGTATCTCATTGTGGTTTTGATTTGCGTTTCTCTGATGGCCAGTGATGATGAGCATTTTTTCATGTGTCTGTTGGCTGCATAAATGTCTTCTTTTGAGAAGTGTCTGTTCATATCCTTCACCCACTTTTTGATGGGGTTGTTTGTTTTTTTCTTGTAAATTTGTTTGTGTTCTTTGTAGATTGTGGATATTAGCCCCTTGTCAGATGAGTAGAATGCCATAAAAAATGATGAGTTCATGTCCTTTGTAGGGACATGGATGAAGCTGGAAACCATCATTCTCAGCAAACTATCGCAAGGACAAAAAACCAAACACCACATGTCCTCATTCATAGGCGGGAATTGAACAATGAGGACACTTGGACACAGGAAGGGGAACATCACACACTGGGGCCTGTTGTGGGGTGGGGGGAGGGCGGAGGGATAGCATTAGGAGACATACCTAATGTAAATGACGAGTTAATGGGTGCAGCACACCAACACGGCACATGTATGCATAGGTAACAAACTTGCCCGTTGTGCACATGTACCCTAGAACTTAAAGTATAATAAAAAATATTCGTATATAAAAATAAGAGCACAAGAAAAAAAAAAGAAAAAATAAAATAAAATAAAATGGGAGAAGGAGAGGAGATGAACTGACTTATGAGAAAATTTAGAGTTCCACTTTGGATATGTCAGTTTTGGGTTGCCTTTTGGACAACCAAGTGGAGATGCCAATTAGGCACCTGTGTATATTAGGGTCTGGATCTCAGCATAAAGGTTTGTGCTAGATATAAAATAAAGGATTCATCAGTATATGAATGGTTCTATATCATCCAGAGAGAGATGAATAAGACTACATGGGAAAAGTAGGTTGAGAGAAGAGAAGTACCCCAACCTGTAGAGACCATTTAGAGAAGGCTGTTCTGGAAAAGAAGCCAGTAGAACTATTAGCTGTGGCATATGTTACACAAAGGAGGACTAAGAACTCTGTTAGACTGAGGGGTTGGGAGTCCAAAGGAAAATCTACTTCAGTGGCAATGTGGGGGCCAAAACAAGATTGGAATGGGTTTACCAGTTATTAGGGAATAGAAAATATAGGAAGACAATTCTTAGGAGAAGTTTGACTTTGCAAGGTTGCAGAAAAAGTAGAGTAACTGTATGAGTTATGGGGTAAAAAAAATGGTTCATAGCTATTGCTACGTGTGTAATGTAAAGATGGGAAATCCTAGAGCAAATTTGTGTATTAATGGGAATAATTCAGTATGGTGAGAGGGGAATAAACATGCAAACTACTGAATGTAGAGGTTAGACTGTACAGGATTCAAAGTACAGGGTTGGCCTTTGACTTTCTCCAGGAAAGAAAAGGCAGAAGGAGAAAACAGGATTCAGACACCAGCTGATTTACAGATTTGTGATAAGAAGATGTCGGGAATCTTCCCTCTGGTGGTTTCTGTTTTCTCAAAAAAGCATGAGGCAAGTCATCAGCTTAAAGCCTGTGCAGTTAGTGCATGTGAGAAGAACAGGTAAGTTTGAAGAGGAAAGGCAAGATATAAAATTATTTGCAGACAATGGAAAAAGTAGCTTCCTAGAATTTCCAGGTAGTGTTTTATGTACATTTAAATTTGGGGCTCGTGAATTTGTAGTGAGATCAATCTGCCAAGTGACTCTTGCAAGCAACAATCATGAGTGGCTGGGTTCATCAAGGATGATGGTTCTCAAAGCACAGTCACTGGACCAGCAGCATCAGCCTCAGCTGGTAACTTACTAAAAATGGTAATTCTTGGGCCCCACCCCAGATCTACTAATATCAGAATACCTGGGTATAGGACACAGCAATATTTTTTAACAAGATTCACCATTCAGGTGATTCTGATGGATCTTAAACGTTTGAGAATCATAAATCTAGGGAGAGCTTTGCATAAATGCAAAGAAGGGAAAGGAAAGAATTAAAAAGTATTTGCAAGACCATGATTATACTGATGATCCATGGAATAAAAACTAGATAAGTAGTGAAGTCATCCTTTATAGATATCTATCTCAGCCACTTTTAGAAAAAATACATTCTAAAAAGTATGATTCTTGAATAAAAGGTGTGCAATTTTAAACTGTAATACATATTGCACAATGGCCTTCCAAACACTTTACAAAGTCATCCATAGGGCAAAAGAGGCCCACTGTAATGTATGCTTACCCAACAACTTTTTTCACTGCTGTCCACTTAATAGGTGACAATCGTATCTTTGGGTTGTTTTTGTGTTGTTATTTGTTTGCTTATCTTTTATTGAACTTATGTCCCTAAAATGAAATGTACATGAAAAGGATAGAGCTACTTCTCAACAACATGTAAGAAAAGGACCAGAAGAGTTTTAACTGGAACATGCAACAAGTCTATGGTATGATTATAGCTCCATTAATAAGAATGTGTGTGTGGTTGAATATCAGTGATATTTCCATTCACTTCTGTCCTGGGAAGATTTCTATGGGTCTTATATTCAGTTCTGGATACCACAGTGTGAGACAGAGATTTATAATCTAAAATTCTACTCTAATGATAATGTGCCTTTCTGCAGCCACTGAACATGAGGTATAATTGAATGTTTTGGGAATATTTGGCCTAGAATATAGACTTTTGTGAAAGGAAGAGAATAAAGAAATGAGAGAGCAGCATGACACCCATAAAGAAATATCTGTTACAAAAAAAAATGTTTACATTAGCTGAGTGTGATGGTGTGCGCCTATAGTCACAGCTACTCTGGAGGCTGAGGTGGGAGGATTGCTTGAGCCCAGGAAGTGGAAGTTGTTGTGAGCCAAGACCACACCACTGCACTCCAGCCTGTAATAGAGTGAGACTCTGTCTCCAAAAAAAAAAAAAAAAAAAAAAAAAAATGAAAGAAAGAAAAAGAAATATCTGTATAGTTGACAAATGAAAGATAGTGTAGTCTTCTTCATCATAATTTTCTAAAAGATTCAAGTGTAGAATTTATAAGAAGACAAGTTTTATTACAATCTATAAAAACCCTTCCTAATAAAATAGAACTGTCTTCGCTAATCCTTTAGGCTTCTTAGCCAAGGTTGAATGATATTAGCTGAGCACTAGAACAACGATCTTCACCTTCTTCTCTAACTTTGAGATTCATGACGCTTTGAGGATTCTAAGCTTCATTTTCATAGAGATAACTCATTTTATCTGTTTCTTCTATTGAAATTTCTATCACAGCCTGTTTTTCCAACCAAATGATTTGATATTCTCATTTAGCTTCAAGCATAAAGGTCACTTTTGTTTGTTAAACTTTGACTTTATTAGCCAACCACTATCAAAAAATCTTTTAAATTTATGACCATTTATTGTGGCATTTGACATCTATTTGAACTTCATGCCTGTGGGATGACAAGAAGAATGTACTTAGAGACTTTTTAGTTCTCAATATTCTTACAGCAGGACAAGTTTTGACAGAATGATAAATATTACCAGTAAGTAGAAAAATTAATGTGTAACACTGGTACTACTGTTTGAATTTACAATAATGCAGTTCATTGTGACTGTTTTGGTAGATTTACTTCCAACTTCTCCATGGCTGACGAAATGACTGATTATGGCCTAACAACCTTTGTTACCTCCACAATCTACTTTCCAAGAAGTAAATCAAAGTTGCAAACATCAACCTGCTGCCAGCCTGCTCTTTTCCTAAAGAGATTAACCCAACATCACAAACATGACTAACTGGCCTCTCTCATCTACAAATCTCCCCCAACTAAGGAGTTAGAGATTCTCCATCACATTCCCAGCTCCAGACGGACAGACACCATTGAGAGCTAAGATGCCACAGACACCACCGAGAGCTAACTAGTGAAAGAAATAAATATAAAGGCATCTTCTGAAAATTCAAAGACTGCAGGAGAGTTTGAAAAGTCTTCTAACAACAGTTCAGGCAAGTTAAAGGGGATATCTAGATCTCCAGTTCACTCTCACATGCTTTTATTTTACAGTAAGATATGGAATCAGTAAACAATAGAAGACATAGAGGTTTCCTACTTCAATATTACTGTTGTCCCTATGAGAAAACAAATGATGAAAACCTCCCATGTAACTTTTTCAGGTCATGGCTGGGGTAATTTAGTGGGTCACTCTTCCCCTTCACTGTAACCTACAAGGAGAAAAGGGACACTATCTACAAATATTTACTAGCCATGGGGGAAAATATTAGGCATAGCACACACAGCTAATTCCTTCAATGTCAAAATATTTATATAGATATAAATATATTTAAATCTGGTTCTTATGAAACTGTTTTATAGATTTTTTTTCCCAAGTGACTAATAAACTATCTAAGAAGTTTGTCTAGAAATTTGCTTTGCTTAGAAATATTCTGTTCTTATGGAACTGTGAGACTTGTATATATATATAAACATATATATACATTATATTATAGATATACACACACACATACACTTATACATATAAATCTTCTGTTCATATGGAGCTTTTAATAGACTTTAATAGACTTTTATATTTATAGAATATATAATATTACCAGGTAAACTATTTCTGTCACGAAGAAAAACTAAAATTTTCTTTCTATCTCCATCTCCATCATGATTTCAAATTCATTTAATTAAATGTGATATTGGCAAGATTTGTAATTCAACATTTCAGTATATAAAAATTTATTAATTCATTCTAGTAAGAAAAGCCAGCATGAGTTAAATTATCTCAATCCCAAATAGCTTGAGATACATTAAAATTAATTCCACATATAAAAGTAACTAGGAAAAGGGCATGGCGCTTCATGTATTGCTACTTTATCTGGGAGTACAGTTTCAGGAAGCAAGAGTGAGAGACATGGGGACTAAAACAAGGAAGCAAACAGAGCCAATACAAAAATGCTTTATGGTGCTGGCCACCAGTAAGGTTGGCTGATTTTGCTTGATCACAAAGAACCATCTTCTGAGAATCCATAAAAAATGCTTCTTAGGACAGTCAGTCTGGGGAAGTAAAAGAGCAAGAATTTTTTTAACCGGCTTTTGTTTCCCTTGGGTCACAGATTAGCCCGATAGGGCATGAACTTCCCATACTTCTGGGTTGTGCATTTGTGGGCAATAAGTGGGATCTCATGGAGTCCCATGCTTTGGCTAGAAACAAGGACAATCTGGGTCAGGAGGCAAAGGGCATATGGCTTAGGCATCATGTGAGGTTAGCTAGGTTGTACTCACGAGACAATGGCTGGAGGTCTTAATGGGCTAGTGGTCATTGCAGTGATTGGAAGAAGAGACAGTGACGGCAAGATGATTGGAAGGGCATATGAACAATGATAAACGCAGACATTTTATAAATATGGGAGAAGGGAAGTAGTGTGCGCACACATCTGCTTTCCTATGCATTGAAAGCATCTTAAAGGGAACCCCAGAAATAATTACCATTGATTATCTGTTGGAGGCATTAACTTCTTACATAGAGAGGTAAAGAGACTTGCTGCATACATTTTTGTGTTTTGATTTTTTATTGTTTTGAATATGAATGTTTCCCATTCAAAATAATTCTGAAAGTCTTTGAAAAAGAACGTAAGCACATACTTTAAAATCACAAGGAAGAAAAATATAATCTCAGGAAGTAGAGAAAAACTGGGCATTGGACAGGGGTGGGAAAGTTAGGAGATGTGATTGTTCTGCATCCCCCATTTTTAGGAGTGGTTGAAGAAGAGACTGCATCGGTCAATAAACAGAGATGCCAAAATATTGGTTAAAGCTAAGTGGCAACCAACAGAAGGAATAGAACTAGAAACGGGGTTTAATTTTCATTTTATTCCCTTCTGTACTATTGTATATGTATGTGTATATATATATATATATATATATGAATTACTAATAGCAAAAACACTATTTAGTACAAATTAAAGAAAAAAAAAGCTCCAAACCATGCTTCAAATACTAGCTAAGTACAGAGCCACTAAGGTGCTGCACTAAAAATATTTCAAGTCAGAAAATCACAACTAACCTGAAGACACTATTATTTGAAGAACACCCAAGCTTCCGGAAATGTTTAGAAAACAATTAAGGACAAAAACAAGAAAAAAAACAAGTGCTTGTAACTCAGAACACGGCTAGTGTTATGAAAGCAAACACTGCACAAGAGTAGCTCATTTTATAAATGTAGGTTTACTAGAAATTGACATCCAGAATTAACAGCTGCAGTTGCCTGAAACTACAAAACCCCTTGAACAGAAAATCAATGACCACTTACTACGCCAAGCCCAGAAAGCATGGAAGGATAAGCAAGGGCACATCCAAGCACACATTTGCGAACTATAAAGGGCAATCCTCTACCAAAGTACTTGAGAAATAGCAGTTTTCCTGAGAGAATATAGGGACAAATAAGGGTCCCTATGTGAAAATGGAGATATTTTATATGCAAATAATTGGAATGACTTGCTGAAAGCAAACAGCAGAAAAAGAAGAGTCTAAGAACATGTCAGCCTTCTAAACAAACCTTTGAAATAAATGTAGATCAAGTGGATGTTGGAAAAGCTGATGTAACCTGGCACTTGTGATTTATCTAAACCAATTTTTAGGCAAACATGATGCAATTATATATCTGCATTAAAGTATCATTGTAAGAGAAAAATAACCTGCTAATACACCTCTTCTGGAAACAAGTAGAATTTAAATAAGTAGGAAAATTACTCAGAATCCATTAAATTCACTTTTCCATCAAGCACTCCTAACTCCATGTCTTTTTCTGTAAATCCAGAAATAAAATCCTAAAGCCTTTTCAAAAACCCATCCCCTCAAATCAGGTTTGTAAGGCACCATAAATGAGCTGGAGAAGTTGGTTTTCTCAGTGGCATAAAAGTAAATAAAGGCAACAATTAACATGGGAAAGAAAATTCAAATATTCATTTAAGCCTAGTGATTCCTCCAGAGGCCTACCTGGAAGGCATGGGATCATGCTGTGGTGGGAGACCTTCTAGCCCTTTGCCACCAACAGTGTAGTCTGTGGATCATCATCATTACCTGAGAACTTGTTAGAAATGTAGAATCTCAGGCCCTAATTCAGACTTGCTCTATCAGAATTTACATTTTAACAAGCGCTCTAGTGATCTGTATGTTCCTTGAAGTCTGAGAGGTGCTGTCATAGTTTCTCAACATTGACCCCAGAGTCACATGGTAGTGCTTATGATAAAATACAGATTTTCAAGTGTCTTTTCAAACTTACTGACTCTCCAAGATCAGCCATGTAGATGCATCAAGCAACCACTTCAAGTAATCTTTCAAATCAGGCACAGAGGATAGACATATACATCAATGGAATAAAACTAAGAGTTCAAGAAAAATTCATACATCTATGGTCAGTTGATTTATGACAAAGGTGCCAGGACAATACATGGGAAAAAATCATATTTTCAACAAATGGTGCTGAGACAATTAAATATCCACATACAAAAGAATAAATTTGACCATACCACCTCATACAATATACAAAATTTAACTAAAAATAGATCAAAGACCTAAATGTAAAAGCTAAAGCTATATAACTCTTAGAAGAAAACATAAGGGTAAATCTGCATGACATCAAATTTGGCAGTGGTTCCTCAGTTATAACACCTAAAGCGCAAGCAACCGAAGAAAAATGATAACTTTGGCTTCATCAAAATTTAAAACTTTCATGCAAAGGACACTATCCAGAGTGTGGGCCAGGTGTGATGGCTCATGTCTGTAATCCCAGCACTTTGGGAGGCTGAGGTGGAAGGATTGCTTGAGGCCAGGAGTTTAGGACCAGCCTGGGCAACACAGTGCGACCTTGTCTCTATTAAAAGAAAACAACAAACAAACAAAAACAGCAATCAAAAAACAGTGTGAAAAGGTGACCCACAAAATGGGATAAAATAATGCTAATATTATATCTGATAATGGTCTAGTATCCAGAATATAAAAAACTCTTACAACTCAACAATAAAACACAATTAACTCAATTTAAAAATGGACACAGAATGTGAATAGACATATTTCCCAAAAAAATACAAATGGCCAATAAGCACATAAAAAGATGTTTCGCATCATTAGTCATCAGTGAAATGCAAATCAAAACCACAATGAGATACCACTTCACACTCACTAGGATGGCTAGAATCGAATAGTCAGATAATAACAAGTGTTGACAAGGATGTGGAGAAATCAAAACTCTCAGGTGAATGTAAAATGAGAGTCTAAAGTACAGTCACTTTAGAAAACAGGACAGTTCCTCAAAAAATTAAACATAAAACTACCTTACGACATAGCAATTCCACTTAAAGGTATATACTCAAGAAAACTGAAAACTTACGTTCACACAAAAACTTATACAAAGCGGTCATAGAATAAGCATTATTCATAAAAGCCAAAAAGTGAAAACAACTCACATGTTCATCAATGATGAATGGATAAACAAGATGTGGTATATTCACACAATGGAATATTGTTCCACCATAAAAAGGAACAAAATACTGATACATGCTGCAAATGGATGGACTTTCAAAGTATTGTGCTATGTGAAAGAAGCCAGTCACAAAAGACCACATACTCCATTTATATTAGATATAAATTACACATATAAGAAGTATCCCAAATAAGCAAATCCATGGAGACACAAAGAAGATTAGTTTTTGCAGGGGCCTGGGGGAGGAGAGAGTGGAAAGTTTCTGATAATGGGCATAGAATTTCTTTTGGGGATTATAGAAAATGTTCTAAAATTAGATAGTGGTGTTGGTTGCAGAACTCTTTCAATAGTCTAACAATCAAAATCAGGTGCAGTTCTCACGCAAATCCTTTTTTATTCAGTTGTGGTAGTAGCACTACCAAAGAAAACACTAATGGTTTAATAGCTAAGGGAGAGAGATGGATGAGGAGCTAAGATTTTACATCTGTTTTTGAGACAGGGTTTCACTCTGTTGCCTAGGCTGGAGTGCAGTGGCATGATCTCAGCCCCCTGCAACCTCTGCCTCCTGGGTTCAAGCAATTCTTGTGCCTCAGCCTCCCAAGCAGCTGGGACTACAGGCATGCAACAACATGCCCAGCTAATTTTATTTATTTATTTATTTATTTATTTTGTATTTTTAGCAGAGATGGGGTTTCACCATGTTGGCCAGGCTGGTCTCGAACTCCTGGCCTCAAGTGACCTGCCCGCCTCTGCCTCCCAAAGTGCTGGGATTACTGGCATGAGCCACTGTACCCAGCCAGTAGATATGGTATTTAATTATAATATTATCAGAGAATGATGTGGTAAAAATAACTTTCCAGGCCTCAGCTTTGCTCCAGTTCCTGCATCTTGAATTTTCTTTTTCTTTCAAGACACAAGGCAGAGCATTTGTATCTTTCAGGCCCTATGTCAAAAGTCACCTCTTTGAGAACCCTCCCAGAACCAGGGACAGAACGTAAAGACCCTACCTCCTATATCTATATCCCTTATTTCTGTAACTCACTGTATTTTAGAGCTCTGTCACTGTGTGGGCTTTCCCATCGAAAATGAGTTTGTCCTGCAAAGAGATAGCTCTTTGCAAAGCTACCTTCTCTTTTCACTAAGTCCTCTCCAATTCTAAGTCAGCATCCTCAGCTCTAAAATGGTGACACTAAGGAGTGTGTTATCCATTAAATGAGCCACAGATAAGAGAACCTAGCATGACTGTGTACTGAATAAATGCTAGCTATTATTATTCATATTATATTAATTTCCTATCGCTACTATAATAAATCACCACAAACTTATGACTTAAGACAACATAAATTTATTATTTTATAGTTCTGGATGTCAGAAGTACAGAATGGGTCTTATGCATGAAAATCAATGTATTGGCAGAGCTGGTTCTTTCTGAGGGCCCAAGGACAGAATCCATTTCCTTGCCTTCTTCAGCCTCTACAGTCTACCCACATTCCTTGGCTTGTGACCTCTTCCCTCATCTTCAGAGCACATCACTCCAACCTCAGCTTCTGTCATCACATCTCCTCTGATTTGACCTTATTGCCTCCTTCTCATATGGACTCCCGTGTGATCATGTTGGGCCTACTCAGTTAATATAAGATAATCTCCGCATCTCAAGATCCTTAACTTAATCATATCTGCAAATCCTTTTTGTCATATAAAGGAATGTGTTCTGTGGTTCTGGGGATTGAGATGTAGACATATTTGAAGAGTCATTATTCTGTCTACCACATACACTATTCTATATTTTTAGTATCCTAGTTTCCTCCATTTCAAATGCCATGCCATTTGTCATCTCCCTTTTAACAGCTGGTGCCCCACATTTAAAGGTTTGGCAAATACTCAGTGTTGGCAAGAAAGCGAAGCACCCATACGGCAGGGTGGAGCTTAAATTAGCATAAATACCTTTGAGAAAAACTTGAAAGTACCTAATAAAATGCAACATTAACACACCCTGTGACCCAATCCCACTAATACATACATACTCTAGAGAAACTGAGACCCACATGAACAAGAAAATTGAAAGTTTAGTGGCATTGTTTACAGCTGCAAAAAGTTGAAATAAACTTACAAGTCAATGTGGCAGGGATACTAAAAATTCCCCATTCCCTTCCTGAATACAAAGCAAGACTATGTTTTCCAGGTTCCCTTGCAGTTAATTTGGGGGCCTTGTGGCTAGGTTTTGGTCAATGCAAAGTGGGCAACAGTAACGACTCCCTTCCAGCAAAAAATAAATAATAATAATAATAATAATAATAATAAATCCAGTGCAACCCTGCCTTCTAGCTTAGTAGACAGCTGGATGATCCACTAGAAACTCAGGGGAGGACCTAGAAAATGACAATCATGCAAGATGGAGAAATCTGAGATCCCGAGTTAGCACATGCAGGAGAGTTCCCCAGCCAGAAGCATTAACTTTGAACTTCACATGAATGATACAAAAGATTTTATTGTGGATTTTGGGAATTTGTATTAACAGAGATGGTATTATTTACTCTGACAGTAAAACGGACAAAGAGACAAGACAGAAAATAGACAAGTTGAGGTGTGTTCAGACAACTGAATATTGTACCACCAGTGAAACTGAATGTATTAGCACTTTGTGTGTACCCAGGGATGAACTTAGAAACACAATGATAAGCAAAGTAAGGTGCAGGTTATAAATAATATAAAATGAAATTCCTTACATTGTTTGAAAGAATACATAACATTTCTACATACTGTTTAGAAATACTAACACAAGGAGAAGTACAAAAAAGTATGTGAAAATAAGAAGTATCAACACCCAGGGAGTGGCTTCTTTGAAAACAGTTTGGCCGTTCCTCAACTGAGTTACCATATGGCTTGGTAATTGCACTTCTAGGTAAGTACCCAAGAGAATTGAAAATGTATGTTCACACACAAACTTGTACATGACTGTTTATGAAAGAAGCAGTATTCATAATGTCCAAAAAGCAGAAACAATTCAAATGTCCTTCAACTGAAGAATGGCTAAACAAAAATTATTCAGCCACAGAAAGGGATGAAATACTGATCCATGCTAGAACATGGATGAACCTTGAAAACATTATGCTAAGTGAAAGAAGCGATCGCAAAGGAATAAGTACTGTATGATTCCATTTATATGAAATGTTCAGAACAGGCAAATTCATAGAGTTAGAAAGTAAACTGGTAGGAGTATAAGGCTTGGAGTTTGGTGGGGTAGGGGAAAATAGGGGATGCTTTCTAGTGGTGACTGAGTTTCTTTCTGAGTTGATGAGAAGGCTCTAAAATTGATTGTGGTGATGGCTGTACAACTCTGTGAATATCATTGAATTGTATACTTTAATTGTATGCAATATGAATATAACTCAGTAAATCTGTTGTTTTAAAAAATGAGAAGAATGATTATCTCTAGAAAAACAGAAGGTAATGCAATCTGGGGAGAAGTATACAGGAATCAACTAGTATATTAGTAATATGCTATTTGTTACACTGGGTGGTAGGTATGTCGATGTTCTTTATATTATTCTATTTTTTATGTGATGAAATTGCTTATAATTTTGTTTAGATGCTACTTCTGGAAGGGAGATGGGTGCCCTTGCCAGTGTGGGAAACATCATCAACATCATCTCCAAATTCTCAGCCAACATTCTGAGCCTTTAGCATACACTAGATATACTATGAAGCTTACTTAAAAATATAGATCTCAGGGCCTCACACCAGATCTCTCAAATCAGACTGTCTGGAAAGGTAACTTGACCCTGCAAAATGAACAATTCAGTTAGAGAACAAGTGATACTACTTTTCTGTTGAGGCAATCCAAATTTTTTTTTTTTTTTTTGGCAGGCTCATCATGATAATGACTCCGATTCTAGGGTTTGGGAATAACTTGGTGTTTAAAAAAATAAAAAGGAGAAAACAAGAACATACCATGAGGCCACAAGTATCTGCTTTTAGAAAGTAACAGCTGAGACAACTGAATGATCACACTCAGGCAAATAACTAGATTTTTTTCCTCCCATCAGGGACTTAATTGGGTGTATTTATAAGCACCACTCCTTCAAAACTCTGAGCTCAGGAGCTCTTTGTGCTGTCATTATAGTTTTTTTAAGATGCTTTGTGTTTAATGGCTGTTTGTCAAACATTTCTTAAACTATTCACATCCCACCTTCCTGATTTCTACCACACAGCACCTGTACAATTATTTATTTACAATTTCATTTAAACCAACTTTATATTGACTCATAGCTGTCACTGATTTTTAAAAGCTTATGAACTACCTAACATAACAGGTTTACCAGAACCACTCTTCGGAGAATACTACTTGAATGGCTGCAAGGTCAGAATTTTACTCTGAGGAAGCCTCTCCATTCTTTTAAGCTGTCAAACTTTGGAAGACTCTGGCCATAGGATTCTATTTATCTTTCCTCTGACATTCCATTTTGTAAGCATTTTCCTAACGCCGAAGCTCTCCCTTCCAATGCTAAAATTACATTTGCTACATCCTCCCGAGACTCATTCCTTTCATTTTACCACCTTATTTTTGTCAGAGTTAAGTCCATGGTCACAGATGCACTTCCAGGCTCCTTCCACCTGTGCAGCAGTGGTTCCCAACCTCCTCTGCTCCTGGAGGGCTTTCAGCACTACATACCAGATCAATAAAACCAGAATCACATGGAATGGGGTCCAGAGGTTGTAAATTTGAAAGCACCAAAGGTGACCCCAGCATGCGCTTTTAGGAAAATACAAATAGCAAGGCAAACCAAGAATGTATCAAACAGCCAGCCGTTGTGGCTCATGCCTGTAGTCCAGTTACTTTGGGAGGCTGAGGTGGGAGGATTGCTTGAGCCCAGGAGTTTGAGAACAGCCTGGGAAACAAAGTGAGACCCTGCCTCTGCAAAAGATTAAAAGAACTAGCCAGGAAGTGTGCACCTGACGTGGGAGGATCCCTTGAGCCCAGGAAGTGGAAGGCTGCAGTGAGCCGTGATCACAACACTGCACTCCCGCCTGGGTGACACAGCAAGACCCTGTCTCCAAAGAAAAGGAAGCAAGAAAGAATGTATCAAGGGCAGTGTTTAACTAGGCTTAATTTAGACACAACAGTTTATATTTCTTAAGTGTGATGCCAAATTTAAATAATACTTTGACCAGTAGCTGTTAAAATTGTCTAATTGCAAAATGTACCTAAAATGTACCCTCTCTGCTATTACCCTAATGGAGAATCTGTTTCCCAACCTGCATTAATAAAAATGTACAAGATCACATTTCACCATATCTCACAAAAATGAATAAAAGACTTGCAAAGTTAAGTTTCACCACGTATATATACACACATACACATAGACACATAGACATATATACATACACATGCATACATATATACATACATACATATGCACATACAGTTGCTAGATATTCAAGAAGTAACTATTCAAATAACTCTAGAGATATGAAAAACACTATGGAATCCAGCTCACAAAAGAGACATCTGGCAGCCACATCAGCAATAGAAGCAGTATAATGGTTTATGTGGATAGTATGATTTGCTGCAGATTTTCATATATTCTGTGCTGCCTAAGCACTACTTGAATATCTATTTAATGACTATGGAATATTTAATTTGAGCAAAATGAGCTCCAGATTGTTTACAAAGTACTGGCCAATGATCCCCTCCTTATAAATTAATCTGCCCCAAAATATGATCAAATTTGATTTCTTGAAATGTACTTATCATCGTGACATTGTATACTGTCTCACAGTTCTCCTATGGATGCCACTTCCCAAAGGCCGCCCAGTAACTCCTAAATGCTACTAAAACATTCTCTCTGTCTCTCTCTCTCCCCCACCCCAAAAAGAAATATGTGTTCCTAGAATTCAGGGGTAAAAAAGAAAGCTTTTGGTTTGTTTTGGTTTTTACTAATAAAGAACAGTCCAGGACAAATTCTACCATGCAGGGGATATTAGTCTAATAATACAGAGTGAGAACAGAAGGGAGAAGTGGCACTATGACCAGAGGCCAACTACTTTCACTCTCTTAAAGGTTGCATGACTGCCTGAGACTGGACAGCCCACGGAACTGAACAAGAATGGCTGCATTCAACCTAGCTGGTCTATACATCTAGAAACTCAGTCAATCTTGTATGTATCTATATATTCAAATTATGTAGTCCAGCACTTGAATACATGTATTCTTTTCAAATATTATCTTTAAAGCACACTTCCAAAATTTAAGAATAACATGTGCTCACCCCGCCACTGAAACAATGCAAAGTTGGACAATGGAAGAAGTTACTATGCTCCTTCTAACCATTCTACATCCCTTCTGCAAACCACACCCTCCAAAAACTATGGAGTCAGACTGCCTTCTTCAAACACTGGCTTCTCTCTTGGTGACTTTGATTAAGGTGAGTTTATCTCCATCCACCTCAGTTTCCTTATTCTCATAAAGAAAATGAATTATAGCACCTACATCATATACATACCTAGTTGTGTAATGTATATTGATAATATTAGGGGTAATGGGGTTGCTCAAACCTGTTTTAGAATCTAAGATATTTCCTAGGGGATCACCTTTCACTAGGTCTTTTCAAGAAAATATTTTTGAGCACCAACATGTGCCAATCACTATTCTAGTTCCTAGGAAGACAGCATTAAAATAAAAGACTATTATAAAAATGAAATGTCAAGCCACAGTCTGGGAGAAAATATTTGAATAACATACCTTAAAAAGGCCTTATATCTAGAATATTTATTTTTGAATTTCATAAGCTCAATAACAAAAAAAAAACGATGTTTAAAATCAACACAAAATTTGAAGAGACAATATCACCAGAGAAGATGTACAAATGGCAAGTAACATATAAAAATGATGTTCAACATCATTAGTCATTGGGGAAATGTGAAATAAAACCACAATGAGATATCACCACTCCTATCAGATTAGCAAAAATTTTAAAAAGACTTACTATAAAGTGTTGGAACAATTGGAACTCTCAGACAGAAAACAGGTTGATAGTCTCCTATAGAGTTAAACATGTACCTACCATATGACCCACCCATTACACTCCTAGATGTACACCCAAGGGAAGTAGAGGGATATATATGAAAGTTCATACATAAATGTCCATAGTAGCATCATTTCTAATAGGCAAAAGTTAGAATCAACTCAAATGCACATCAACAGATGAATGGATAAACAAATTAGATAGTTAGAAGGAATAAGATCTAATGCTCAGTAGCACAATAGGGTGACTACATTTAACAATAATTTATTGTATATTTCAAATTACTAGAAGAGTGAAATTGGAATGTTCCTAATGTAAAGAAATAATAAATGCTTGATGTGACGGATATCCCAGTTACCCTGATTTGATATTACACATTGTATGCTTGTATCAAAACTTCACAAGTACCCCACAAATATGTACAACTATTAGGTATCCATAAAAAATAAAAATAAAAAAGTTTAATAGTAACTTAAAGCTAAAAAATCTATAGCAAACTATATAGTATAACCATACAATGGAATGCCACTCACAAATGAAAAGAAATAAACTATTGATATAAGCAACAATATAGATGAATCCCAAAATAACTGTGATGAGTGAAAGCAAAATAAGAGTACCTTATGTATGATTTCACGTATATAAAAAATTCTAGAAAATCCAAACTAATGAACATCACAGAAAACAGAGCAATAGGGACCTAGGGTAGGAGATATAGGAGCTACGGGAAGAAGTGGTAGAGAGGGACTGCTATGGAGCAAGGACAAACTTTTGGGGGTGACAGATATGTTCATTAGCTTAACCACAGTAACAATTCCATGGGTGTATATTGTAAGACAGGTATACCTCAATAAAGCTCAAAAATAAAATAAGAAAAAATATAAACAAGGTCTTTACCATCTTAGGAGTAACATTGTGATGGGGGTAAAGCTAGACAGAAAAAGTTTAAATAGGCAAATACATACCACATAGTTTTAAGTAATACAGTTAAAATTAATTCACATGATGTTCACCAAAAAATGTTCAGTAACGTTCATAGCAGCAGTGTTTGTAATAGCCCTAAATGGAAAACCAGCCAATGTCCACCAAGAGCAGAAAAAACTGTGGTGTATTCATACAGTGGAATGCTATATAGCAATGAGAATAAGTGAACTGCAACTACACAAAACCTCACGGATGAATCTTACTAATAACATAGTGAATGAAAGAAGCCAGGCACAAATGAGGACTTTATGATTCCAATTTTAATCGATGCCGACAAAGCTGAGGATGGCATTTGCCCTTGGGTGTAGTGAGCAACTAGAAGGAAATCCAGCAAGGGCTTCTGGGTGCTTGTACAAAGGTGTGCTCACTTGGTGAAAATTCATCCAGTTATAGCCTTAAAATGTGTGTCCTTTTTTGTGTATATGTTAACCTTCAAAAAATTACTTTAAATAAAAATGAACCCATATGATAGGATAGAGATTAACTGGCTATTTTAGGATGAATGTCAGAAACACCTTTCTGAATAGGAAGCATATAAGCTGAGATCTGAAAAACAAGAATGAGCCAGGTCCATCAGGTTCTTGGTCAAGTGCATTCTAGGCAAGTGCAATTGCAGTGGACTTCAACAGGATGGCCAGGCAGAGAATGGTATGAGATGAAGTGGGAAGAGTAGGCAGGACTATGTTAGAAAAGGGTACTATAAACAAGGCAAGGAGTTTACATTTTATTTAGATCCAAAGTGAGGCCGTTGAAAGATTCTACATAGGAATTGTTATGAAATTATGGGCATTTTTGTGAGGTTTTTTAGCTGTTTGAGTCAGTTTCATCATCAGTGAAATGAGAATGAAAATAAATCATATAATGCACATGAAGGGCTTAACACTGTGTCTAGCATGTCTTGAAAAAATGATTGTGGTTAATATTGCCATATTTCATTGACCAAGAATTTAATTGACCAAGACACCAAGAATTGCAAGATGCACCATTATTTTAGGAATCACTGAGAAAGAAAAAAGAGTTGCCAATTAAAATATCACAACACTGTTAACTATTAGAGTTTTTAGTTTACCTTGTAAAAGTGTTCTTTTAGATTTACTGAGTCAGAGCTTTATATCATATGCCACTCTTTCATAAAATACATACATAAAAAATAAATATATAAGAAAAACAAATCAGCTAAATTCTTACTAAAGTATCTGTCCATTCATAATCTGACTATCCTGAATCATTTTTGGATTCAGAATCCCCAAATGCCATATTTTGAGCATTTGTGCAGGCAACAGCAATGACACGAGGGTGGACACCTGGAAGTCATGTGACGCTTTTGCTATCTATATTGCTAGCCATATGTCTTAGTCTGTTTGTGTTGCTATAAAAGTATACCTGAGGCTGGGTAATTTATAAAGAAAAAAGGTTTATTTGGCTCATGGTTCTGCAGGCTGTACAAGAAGCATAGCACCTGCACCTGCTTCTGTTGAGGGCTTCAGGCAGCTTCCACTTATGGTGGAAGGCAAAGAGGCGCTACTGTGTGCAGAGATCATGTGGCAAGAGGGGAAGCAAAAGAGAAAGGAGGAGATGCCAGGCTCTTTTCAACAACTAGTTCTTGCAGGAAATAAGAGTGAGAATTCACTCTCTCCTTCGAGAATGGCACCAAAAAATTCATGAAGGATCCGCCCCCATGATCCAAACACTTCCTACCAGGCCCACCTCCAACACTGAGGATCAAATTTCAACAAGAGACTTGGCAAGGCCAAACAAACCATATCCAAACCATAGCACCATATAAATCTGGTTTAATATCTGCATTGAAAATATGAATATGAATGCCTGCCATCATTCCTCAGGAACACAGAGTGAAAACTGAAATGCATGTGTGTAGTCCTTGGAGTTTCTTGGGAAGAAAGTCATGATTAGGCCTCAGTTGACATTACTGGGCCATCCCTCCCTTCTGAAGCAGCTCTACAAATCCATACACTCAGGTTTGGGCCATCCTCATTGCTCCATCCCCTAAGACAGACCCTCCCCAGCTCTGACATGGAACAGTAATTACTTTCACTTGTCAAACTGTCGTTCAGGTATAATTTTGCAATGGTCCCGTCGGTTATAATTCTCTGTGTTCTGAATTTTCTGCTTTTCTCACTGTGGTCCCTCATGATTCAAAAATAAGTCTTTCTAATGATTAGTGGTCTACCATAGCAATTCTTTTTGTTTCTACTATTTGGGATTGTTCCTTTCTTCTGCTTATTAAAATGGTAATTAAATTTAATCCCACCAACCTACTCAGGGGAAAATAAAATCCAATATGCTTCTATTTCACATGCCAAATGACAGTTCCTGCCAGACTGTCACATAACTCAAACCAACCAGCCCCTTCTCTAGTGTTCCCTTCCTTCAGGCCAGACACACAGCTTCTCATAATGAAGGTTGCTCTGTAAAACAGAAATTACATGCACCATTCAGAGAGCTCCAAAGTCACACTACAATAGAACTCCCTAGTTCTGAGTCATTGGTGTCTAAAGTCAGTCTGATTTCATGAAAGTTCTGAATTATAGGAGATTGGAACTCTGGGGTCAGTACTTCAGGGTTATGAGGGCAGGCTCTGGAGAAAGACTTGACTGGGTTCAGAAAGTGGCAGTGTGGCCTCTAAAGCCTCAGTTTTGTCCTCTGAAATATGTGATTATAGGGAGCATATATTCTGGGCAACTTGAATCTGTGTTCCTGGGAAATTTAAAAAATTAAATATTAAAATTAAATACAGGAATTACAATTGTACTAACTTCATAGGGTTATTATGAGTATATTATCTGTCCCATTAATAGCGAAATAAAGGTTAACTGCTGTGATGGTTAACATCATGTGTCGACTTGACTGGATCGCAGAATGCCCACATATCTGGTTAAATGTTATTCCTGGGTATGTCCATCGGAGTGTTTCCAGAAGAAATTTGTATTTGAATCAGCAGCCTGGGTAAAGTGAATTGCCTTCCCCAACATGAGTGGGCATTATCCAATCCATTGAGGGCCTGAATGGAACAAAAAGGCAGAGGAAGGTTGAATCTGCTCTCTGCTTAACTGCTTGAGCTTGGACATCAGTCTTATCTCCTGTTCTCTGCACTCCTGGTTCTCAGGTATTCTGACTCAGATTGGAATCCATACTTTCTCTCTGGTTCTCAGGCTTTTGAACCCCACAACTGGCTTGACTGGGTCTTTAGCTTGCAGATAGCAGATCATGGGACTTCTCTGCTTCCATAATTATGTGAGCCAATACCATACCTTATAATAAATCTCCTTTCTCCAGAGAACCCTGACTAGTACAGCAGCCATGACTATTACTACTGGTATCAGTTCTATTTTTTCTACTGTAACCATTACTATGCAGATGATGCAAGGTATAGAGAATATGGGACACCTGGAATCTTGTGTCTGCTACTAACTGCTGAGACCTGGTATTTATTTTACAGGAGGAAACTTATAGTATAATATGAGTTTAAGAATTATACAAGCCAGGCATGGTGGTGCACACCTATAGTCCCAGCTACAAGGAAGGCTGAGGCAGGAGGATCACTTGAGCTTAGGAGTTTGAGTCCAGGCTGGGCAACATAGTGAGATCCTGTCTCTAAAACTAACTACATGAATAAATAATAAAAATTAAAAATAAAGAATTATGTAAATAAGAACACTCAACATTATAACAGTTTTTGGCTGAATTGGAGTCTCAAAACTACAATTTCAAGCTCTCAGTTTCCATGATTTTAAATACGTATAATTTTTTTAAAAATCTATCCAAATGAAAGACTTTCAAGTCTACACATAGAAGAGCTTCAGGTACCAGCAAATGTCATAATGTACATTCATTGAGCACTACTAAGTGCCTACTTCTCTGCTAAGCCCGATTTATTCATTCATTTCTTCCTTCAACACACACAATAGTGATCTCTTAATATGTGCCAGGCCCTGGAGATAGCAGGCCAAACAAAATAGGCAAGATCCTTAATCTCCGGGGAAAGATATCTTACTGGTGAAGAAGAAAGATAACAGAAAATAAACAGATAAATGAACGAGATAATTTCAGATGGTGAAAAAAATATGTAGAAAGTAAATCAGAGTCACATTTTGGATGGAGTGATGACAACCCACAGCAGCCCAAACAAGGTACCTAATAATATTTTTTTAATGCTTAGGAAATCAGTGCTTAGAGAAACTAATAAATTTGACCAATTTTCACAACTAGTGGTCTGGACAGGGTCTACAATCCATGCTTGCCAAGTCCATAATCCAATCTCTTACCCATTACATAAACTGCCTTTGCACACACTCTATGATTTATGTCAAATTCCAAAGCTATCAATTCTCAGTTAATGAGGTCACACCTGGTGAAGGCCAGGCATGGCCAATCTCTGGCAGTGGGACTTTCTTCATAGGAACACAGAGCAGCTAGGGGTCATCAGCTATCTTTGCCACATAAAATCCAGCTTTTATTTATCTAAAACAAATACTCAACTCCTTCTGTTGTAAAATCAAAGAAGGATTTTTTAAAAAGAAACACAAAAGAAGAAATGCAAATTCAGAGTAAACACCCTTGGTATCTGTTCACTTCCTTTTAAAATCCAGTTTTAACAAAATACCCTGCTAAGTCAGTTTAGCAAAATCCTTCCACCTTGACATCTGATCACTCTCCATATCTGATCAGATTCTTCCTCCTCTTCCATTATTCCTCAGGTATGTCTGATCATGCTGGACTGTCTTAAGCAAGAATCCCATTAGGTCAGTTTAGCCATCCTCCTTACCCAGATGTTTCCTCTTGGTAATTTTCCATCCACTCCTACTCTGCTCCTTGGCAATATAAATTACTACTGGTCCATGCTGTGTTCAGAGTTAAGCTCCATCTCTGTCCCTCACTGTGAAATCTCATTGCTCGGTCCCTCTACCTATCATGATGGCCCTAAATAAAGTATTTTTTACTCTGCTTTAACGAATATCACTGAAACACCCTCCATTAACATGGGAACAGTATCTCGCAAGGATGAATCTTGGTGGAGACTGATAATCTGCAAAAACCAAGAATTCAAAGCATTCCAAGGAAAGCAAATATATCTGAACAGATGCACATAGACCGTAATATTCCTAAAGCAATTTAATATTTAATCTCTGAATGGATGAAAATTATCATAAAGTCTATACCTGATAATATTCCACGGAAAACACTAGAAACATGGTCTCAGAGGTCCAGAAGACAGTCATTAATTAGGCTTCTAAGTTTTCCACTTTCTCTAGAATGCATGAACATCTAAAACCAAACAAAATGATAGCTGTATCACTGTAAAAATAGAACACAGGCTGGTATGAAGGACTGCAAATATAAAGAAACATGGGTATTGGACATCATTTCAACTAAATAATATCAGCCAAATAACATATAGTAGCTATCAAAGTTACTTTCCAATTTGTCTTGTCCAAAAGTTGAATTGATCTAATAAAACATGAAGCTATATAGGACAAAATAATACCAAATCACTTAAATCACTGAGAGAAAATATACTCTGCATGAGAAAGCCAAAGAAAGAAAGCATCAGGATAAGCTGAGGGCTTGGGTGCATATATTTCATGTTACCTTGTAATGACAATATGTCCTCACTAACTCACTATAAGTTCATTTCCCTGAGAAATGTTTAGGATGCAATTTTATCACCGATTTCCCTCCCATTAAGTAAGGTTCTGAATATGCAAATGATTTTTCATTTTAATTTCAGACTAAATCAGTAAACCAACACAAATCTATTTCTTACCAAGGTTTCAAAATAGAAGCAGCAGTACAATGGCAAAATAGGACACAAAGATGAAGAGCTAAGATCACAAGAGGATAGGGCTAAAGAGTCTCTGTATGGTGTCTTTGGTAACTTATAGTTCATTTCCAGGAAAAGATAGATATTTTCAAATGCAATCAGTCCAGTAAATTAGGGCCAACGAACCTGTGACCAGAGAAATTTCACTGGGTCAGAAATCTTTGTGGAGACTATAATTATATTGCTCAATTTTACTTTTACCTACACTAATGAACATTTAAAAAACATTTTTTTTTTTGCCTGACCACATTCTTTGCTATGCTTCTGATAATGGCCTCCTGATAATCCTTGCAGATCCTCTCTACCCCCGTTCTCTGTCAAGGTGGTTTGGGAGAAAGTAACTCCACTCTGATTTCTGACTCTAGGGGTGGGTTTGGACCCAGGTGGGAATACAAAAGCCACACATTCCCCAGGCAACAGTAATTAGACAAGGAACCGGTACTGGCACATGACCCACAAATGTTATATTAGAACTACTGAAATTCAATCCTGAGACTTTTGTTAGAACTATTGGGCTAGAGAGTATTTTTTGCTGGATTTTGAGATCAGTAGGATCTAAACCCAAGAGCTGTAGGGGGGCTGTCCATGTTGCCAGAAAAATAAGATAGCTTGCCCAAGAAAGAAAACTATACAGAAACACTCAGAGCTGAAAGATGGGGAAGAAATGGCACCAGGATAATGTTTTTGAGCTCCCGATCCAACTGTATTTCTGGATGCTTCTGCTATACAGGTCAACAAATTCCTAGTTTTCTTGATCCACTTTGAGTTGGGTTTCTGCCCCTTTCAAACAAAAGAATCCTGTTGAAGATACGCCCTGCTTCCCATAACATCCAGCTGCAAAGACAAGTTTAATCTATAGAAAATCTATTCATTATTTCCTCCTCATAATATCAACTGTCATGAAAATGAATTTGAGAGTTAGAAATAAGTAGAAGGAAAGCTTATTTTCTTTAAATGCATTTTATAAAACTCAGATTTCCCCTATATGCAGAAGGCCTCTCCTATTTCATTTTAGAGTCTAATTAAATTGGGCCACAACCTATTTTTATTGAAAGAGTTGTTTTTACTCACTGTGTCCATTCATTGATCTACTCCTCACCTCCTCCAAGGAGAAATGAAGGCAATATGTAACCCATGGGGCTGCTATTTGGATTAAAGGAGATGTAAGTCTCAGTAGGTCACAGAATTCTTATTGAATTCATTTGTTTAGTAAAAATTTATTGAGCAACTGTACGTGGAAGGTGCTATGCCAGATGCTCTAACTTAACTAGATAAAATTTAGCCTCTTCCTTCCTGCCTCTTCCAGTCCAATGGGACAAAGAAGGAGAACAAAACACACATAATTAAGAAGCAAGGGGACCCATTTTACAAAGTATGGACCAAGGCAGGCACAACAAAAGTGGAATCACCTCAGATGTGAATGTTGTCTTCTGAAGCTGTGTAACACGGAAGCCCTGAATATAAAGGAACTGAATGGGGAGCCCTGAAATGAGAACCAGGGAAGAGCAGAACTGTAACACTCAGGTTCAACAATTAGAGTAACCCAAGGTGGTAAAGGAAGGCTCAATGTTGGTGATGCAAAGCCCCTAAGCACCACTCTTCCTCCAGCCCTGATAGCTCTCCCCAAATTTCTTCTCTTTATTCTTTTAGGAACACCAGAAATTTTGAACACTTTTCTGTTACTCCAAGTGGGAAACTCTAGAACCCATGGTGCCCTCTGGTGTGTAAAACAGGTTTCCTGTCCATACCAATGATAATGGCCAGGTGCGATGGCTTACACCTGTAATCCAGCATTTTGGGAGGCCGAGGCAGGCGGATCATCTGAGGTCAGGAGTTCGAGACCAGCCTGGCCAACATGGTGAAACCCCATCTCTACTAAAAATACAAAATTTAGCTGGGCATGGTGGTGGGGACCTGTAATCCCAGCTACTCAGGAGGCTGAGGTGGGAGAATTGCTTGAACACAGGAGGCGGAAGTTGCAGTGAGCCAAGATCATGCCACTGCACTCCAGCCTGGGCAACAGAGCGAGACTCTGTCAAACAAACAAAAAAAGATGATGAGTTTCTTAAAACCCATCCATATCTCAAATCCAAGGTTAACTGTGATTATTTTCAGAACACAATACTTTGTAGCCTGCCTAACCTGAGTATCCTATTGGCAATCACTGATATGACCTAACTTTGGATCCCCCTCTTGCTCCACAATTTTAAAACACCTTCTCTACTATCCTAAACGACCTCAACTGATACATTCTCATCGAGAAAGCCACCTGGGTTATTTTTGAGATCCTACTTCAGGCTGCTAACTGCCCAACATCCATTCTTCACTTTTTCCTGATCAAATACACTTTATCACTCAGTTAAAATTCACTGACATTTACTGTTTATCCACACATACAGAGGACTAACACTTGCGTTTCTGCTCTCAGCATACTTGTTACATTCTCTTCTTTCTCCATGCAAAATTATTTTTGGTTTGGGGTTTCTTGCAAGACAGACTCAAAATCATTTTGTATTATATATTCTCCAGCTTTCCCAAGTTTCAAGATAGCTATTCCTAAAAATGATCATGGGCATGAACAACATTTTTGGGGATATAGAGTTCCAAATAATGCCATGGAAGATACAGCTTATCAACTGGTCCACCAGTACCCTACAAGAATGCAGGCCCGGTGTGGTGGCTTACGCCTATAATCCCAACACTTTGGGAGGCTGAGGCAGGCAGATTGCCTGAGCTCAGGAGTTCGAGACCAGCTTGGGCAATATGGTGAACCCCATCTCTACTAAAAATACAAAAAATTAGCCAGGTGTGGTGGTGCATCTCTGTAGTCACAGCTTCTTGGGAGGCTGAGGCTGAAGGATTGCCTGAACCCAGGAGGCAGAGGTTGCAGTGAGCTGAGATCCTGCCACTGCACTCCAGCCTGGGTAACAACAGAGTGAGATCTGTCTCAAAAAAAAAAAAAAAAAAGCAATTACATTACATTACACAGTCAAATGATTTACTCTTAGGAATATTTTATCTTTCTGTTTCATTACAAGGTCAGTTGTAGCCTTACTTATGTTTCATTTTTCAACATTAGATGCGTTTATAATAACAGCTCCCTGCTTAATTATGTACAATTGAACACCTATAGTTATATCATCTTGTTCATTTGGAAATGACTTTGAGGGCAACTTAACACTCTGGCTCAATGCTCTTTTACCCACTGTACATGGAATGTTCTTGTCTACACTAATAAATTGCCCAATCAATAGCTCACAATTGACTAGCAGAAGATAAATTTTCTTTTCTTACAACAACTTCTAAAGGATCTCTGAAGTTTGGCAGGCACATGACAAGGGAGGCAACAGGTATAGATGTAGCAAGCCTTATTAGTATCCACCCATATGCCTACTGACTTCCAACAGTCAGTATCTGTGTTTCTAAGGGCTTTTCCATATCATGGGAGTTTGGAAGTACAGAGAAACTAACATTCTCTGGGAACAGCCTTCAACTAATGACTGATGGGAGTTGGTGTATAAATATCTCAGTTCCCTCCCCTTTGGGTGGACTGATTTGGAGGCATGAGTTTTATACCATTTCCCAGTTCCTCTATTTTAATACTCTAATTTTGGCAGCCTTTCTGCTATGATTTAGATGTACATGTCCCTCTGAAATTCACATGTTGGAACTTAAACCTGAAGGTAAAAATACTAAGAGTCTTTAGCAGGTGATCAGGCCATCAGAGCTCCACTGTCATAGATGAGATTAGTGTCCTTATAAGAAAAGCTTAAGGAAGCAAGTTTATCCCTTTTTTACCCTTCTGCCATGTGAGGACACAGCATTCATCCTTTTCCCTCTGGAGGACATAGCAACAAGATGCCATCTTGAACAGAGGAGAAGCCCTTTCCAGACACTGAATCTGCTGGTGCCTTGATCTTGGACTTCCAAGCCTCTAGAACTATGAGAAATAAATTTCTATTATTTAAAAACTACCCAGTCTAATGTATTTTGTTATAGCAGCAGGAATGGACTGACAGTTTCTGATATGGTTTGGCTGTGTCCCCGCCCAAATCTCACCTTGAATTATAATAATCCTCACGTGTCAAGGGTGGGGCTAGGTGGAGATAACTGAATCATGGGGGTGGTTCCCCCATACTGTTCTCTTGGTAGTGAATAAGTCTCACAGATCTGATGGTTTTATAAATGAGCTCCCCTGCACAATTAATCTTGCCTTCCGCCATGTAAGACGATCGTTTGCTCTTCCTTCGTCATCCACCATGATTGCGTGGCCTTCCCAGCCATGTAGAACTGTGAGTCCATTAAACCTCTTTCCTTTATAAATTACCCAGTCTTGGGTATGTCTTTATTAGCAGTGTGAGAACAGACTAATAAACTCCCCTTCCATGTGTTACTTGCCCTCTCTCTTAACGGTATTCCATGAACGTTCCAAGTAAACTACTTGCTCTCGAATCCTTGCCTCAAGGTCTGTTTCTGGGGGGGAAATCCTAACTAAAATAGAGGAAGTTAAAGGAATTACACTTAGAACTTGAGAAAATACTTTTTACCTTTTTTTTGTGCTTGTAGAAGATTAATCTTAATCAATAGAGCAAGGCAGCACAATCTGCTATTTACTAGCCATAAAATGGGAATAATGATAACACCTAATTTATAAGCCTACTGCAAGAATTAAATGAGATAGTGTTTACAAAACATATAACACAATATCTGGCATATAATACATGTTCAAAGAACTTGATTACTGCTCAATCATTGTTTTAACTCTGAGGCACATCTTTTCTTTCTATAACCAAACAAAAAACTGAACAAATACCTAGTATGTGCCATAATTCCATACTTTTTAAATATTAGACAGTTTCAAAAAAATCCCTGTTGTGTTTCATTTGAATTAAACCAAAATGGAGAAAGAATATTAAATCTCCAAAAGGAAGGCCGTGTGTGGTGGCTTATGCCTATAATTCCAGCACTTTGGGAGGCCAAGGCAGGAGGATTGTTTAAAGCCAGGAGTTCAAGACCAGCCTGGGCAACAAAGTGAGGCCCTGCCTCTTAAAAAAAAATTTCCAAAAAGCAGTTATGGTTTATCTAGAGAAGAATTGGCAGGACTGGAGTAATGGTGTCCTTAGCAGCATTAGAATGAGGTTAGGGTTTGAACCAGCACTAAAATTCTACTTCCAAATGAAAAAACTTGAGGGTCTTTGCAGGAGACAAATCATATGCAATTTGGAGTGCACTGCAAAAATGGTCCCCATCCCTACCTGGGATGCTGTCCCATGTGTATCTACACGGCAATTTCCTCTCCTCCTTCAAATGTCACTTTCTCAATTATACCTATTCTGACCATCCTATTTAAAATCACGCCCTTCACTGCCACCCATCACAGCCCTTTTGATTTCCCTTATCCCACTCTATTTTATAAAGCACTGATGACCTTCTGGCATTCTATACATTTATTTATTATGCTGTTTCCTGTCTGTCTCTCCTTCTTTTTTTATCTTCTATGTTCACAGAAGAACATTTTTATCTTCTATATTCATTGATATGCCTCCTCATGGTACATGCCACCTGAAGTAAGCAGAATAGTACTCAAGGTGCAGCTGCTGAATGGGTGAGTGACTCGTTGGGAATGTTCATTGTAACATCTGTTTCCTATTTTTTAATCTAGTCTTTACAGGAGAAAGCAGACATAAACAGACACTAGCCTAATAGACAGATCCAGTTATCTTGTTTTGATCCTACTAGTTAAGTGAGTAACTTAGAGCCAAATGTTCTTCTGTTTTACAGTGATACTCACAGTCATTGCACACCCTGGTCTTTGTAGAAAAGAAAATTCTTTTCAGTGGGTGGACTGTGCTCTGTGTTTAAAATAAAATTGAGGTCTGAAAAGAAATGGGAAGCTACTGCTATCATCCTTCTATCCCAAGCAAATAAAAACTCTAGGGACAACTCTGGAATTTTCTATCTCACTTGTTTTTTATTATTTTTTAGTAAGGTACAGTGATATTGTTATTCTTAGTTGCCCTGGGTGATTCCAATATTGATTTTGAGATTTTTCCAGCCATTCTACAGAATGCATATCATTTATAAGGTTCTACTTCACTGCTGTGAGCACAGTTGCATTGTGAAAGTTTTATATTTTCCAGATGATAATATCATATGAAATATGATACCATCCTTTTGCGTTTTGATAATCCCTACCTCCAGCAAGCTTAAGACCATATGATTTCTTTTCCATTTCAGTTTAGTTCAAATAAAACACAACAGAAATTTTAAAAAAATTGTCCAGTGTTGAAAGAAATTTTGAAAAAGTAGTTGCAGCAGCCTATTTATGCAAATGTTTTTACCAAATATCTCTAAACTCTATACTTTTAAATAAAATTCATACCAGCATAAAGTCTTACTTCTAAATTTTTTTTCTAGGATAAAATTTTTAAAATGCATCTTTCTAAAATGTCATTTGCGTTATATTTAAATTATTAAATAAGTTGGTCCATATTTTTGGGAAGCAAAATTAAGAAGACACAATATATGAGGATAAAATGATCCAAAAATATAGAGCAATTCAAAGGTTATAATTTGAATTATATTCACTCAAATTCAAAGGTTATACATTCAAGACTTTAATGACCAAGAGGGTAACATAAACAATTAAAATGGCCTGATTACAGGCAGTAGGGAGTGATGGGGACTGTGACAAAGTGAAGACTCCATGACTGATCCATGTTAAAGGCAGCTGTTACTCAGCTACAGCAAATGATTGCCATGAAGAAACATGGTCAGTGTTGACAAATTTTGCAACTAAGTGTATGTGTCTGTATTTGTGTGTGTGATTTTTTGAATAAGAGAAGTCAGAAATCTAGATTTTTTTTTTTCTGGGAAATTTCACACTGTCTGTGTTAAACAGAACACATCTATACCACAAAATTAGACACTGCTCTAAATTGACATAGTCAAATATTTAGTACCTAATAGAATTCACAGTGTTCTACACCTTTCAGCTTTAGAAGGATAGCTCAATTCAATTTCAAAGATAGTAAAAATCTCCAGTTTTCATATCCTGTTACCTAGGGGTTAGTAGGCTCTAACTGGTAAGTGATTCTTTCGACCAGTGTAGACTCCTAATATCCCAACACAGGAACTTGCCTTAGAAATCCAAACTGAAGCACACAAGGTAACTGCTGTCATAGATAGTATCCATATATTGCTTTAAAAAATCCCTGGCATTTATCATCCTAGAATCTTCTATCTCCGAGAATTCTGCCGCAAATATATCTGACTAGAAGCCTGAAAAGCCCTTGGGACTCACCCTGGGGAACCTCTTGCTGGGATCACTCGCTTTGATTTATTTCTCTCCCAAACTTTCGATTTCTTCCTCATTTTATAGTGCATCTGTTGCTATGGAAACATTGGTGCCGAAGACTTGGGCAGAACCATATAAAACCCCAGCTTTCACTACACAAATCAAGGGATAATTGAGCAGGAATCACACCACCAATTAGGCATATTCATACCAGGTCTGGGACAATAGAGCAGTAGGTGTTAAGCTGCATCTAGCAATCAAATAATTATTCTCAATGTTTTTCAAGAAGCTCAGTTTATTTACTCTATTGTGGGGAGGCCGGCTCTCAGCTTATAGTTTGCTTCACCACTTTCTCTCTTTTCCATGTGTTTAGAATCTCTACCTTATACCCATGTCCAATATTGGAATTTTTTTTCTTTCTCCAACCAGAAACAGGTAGAGGGTTTAATCTTTCTCTCTACCTCTTTTTTATTCACAGAAAATAGAAAACCAGTATTAGTGTGAAACTAGTTTGTGTGTTTTTAAAGAAAATGGATGAGATAACTTTTAGATTAGCTGATTTTAGATTAGCCAATTTTTGTTTAGGACTCCAAACAGAACTTTTCTTATCTGCTGAGTTGCTGTATACCACAGCATTGATTGCCTTGGATTCAGATGATACAGGGTTTGACTCAGCTTCTTGAATCTATCTAACTGCGTGATATTTTGCCTTGAGTGGCCTTTTAAATCATAGCACCGCCTTTTCACATTTGCATTCAAATTTTTTAGCCTGGGTAATATCCATTCATCCATAGACATTTATTAAAGACCTGACATGTGTAGGCATAAAGCCAGGTGCTGGGGATACAAAGGTGAAGAAACAAGATGCCTGCTTTCGAAGAGTTCCCAGTTTAGTGCAAGAAGGAAGCTAAAAAAAAATCTACAAAACATTGTGATGACTGTTTGAGAGGAACAATCCAGAACCATGTGGGAGGATTTTGGGGGAGGGGGAGGGTGGGGGAATGTGGTAGCTGTATAGAAAGTTTTCAATGAAGGTGTGATACTCAGATAACAGAAGATCATTTTGGAGGTAAGAATGAAAGAGAACAGATAGGAGGCTGACAGAAGATCTAATTGAGAGATGCAAAGGGGAGTGGCAGTGGAGACAGGGAAGGGGGCACATGCAAAAAATGTTTTTTAGGTTGCAATTTATTTATTTACTTATTTATTTAGAGACAGAGTCTTGCTTTGTCGCCCAGGCTGGAGTGCAGTGGCGTGATCTCAGCTCACTGCAACATCTGCCTCCCGGGTTCAAGCGATTCTCTTGCCTCAGCATCCCAAGTAGCTGGGATCACAGGCGTGCGCCACCATGCCCAGCTAATGTTTTTTTGTATTTTTAGTAGAGACAGGGTTTCACCATGTTGGCCAGGCTGGTCTCGAACTCTTGACCCAGGTAATCCACCCACCTCGGCCTCCCAGAGTGCTGGGATTACAGGCGTGAGCCACCGCGCCCAGCCAAGTTGCAATTTAGATACTGCTTGGCTGTGAGGGTAGGAGAAGAGTAGACTCTACTTGGAATCTGAAAGAGATAGCACACAACCTGCAGGTAGGTAGCTGTTATCTTAACCCTCAAAAAGGGTTAAACCACTACTTAACTCAAGGCGTGAATAACTATTATTCAAATATTATTGGCAAATTATTTTTGTTTGTCTGTTTCTCTATCTCTAATACCTAGAGAAGAGAGAACATTGTCCTAAAAACCACCAGGATGAGAAAAATTCTAAGTTGTTTCTGTAAAATTTTTTTAAATCCCCCTCCTCCGTCAGTGTTTTTATTTTTAGAAGTTAAATCATACCCACATAGCAACTGTTCCTACTTTAGAGGAAGAATCTTTCTTTTAAACAAATAAAGTGTGAATTTTCTATTCTTCCAGAAAGTTCACTTCCTGGGTCAGTAAACTGTAATGTAGCTATAAAATAAGGGGGCAACACAGCTGACAGCTAAAAACAATTAGCTAAAAAATCATTATTATACAAACACCATTTGCATGAATCCAGTGACCATTAGAAGCAAACACATGAAGTTTCCTCTAGAAAATAGCTAAAGAATTTCTTAAATAGTATGCCAAACTTGAATTTTAATTGGAAATGAAGCTAATAACTGTTGTGTCTAACAGAGATCTTATATTTGGAACCAAAGGTGGGAGTTTCTCTCTCTCTCTCTGTTTTTCTCTTTCCCCTTCTCTCCCTTCTTCCTTTCCTTCCCCCATTATGTAAGTTGTTATCAAAAGTGATGGAACCAATATTGATTGCAGAAAGTCTTCTTGGTTCAGTTGGAAAATAGGGTAATAGAAGAGTAGTAGGGGTATGAACCAGTGCTTTAGAGAAACAAAGGTACACCTTATGGCCAATTTACCTTTATCATCAATGACACAATGGCAATTCCATTGAAAATTAGCTAAGGAAATCCCACAACTGGACATCTGTTTAAAAATGTAAGTTAAATGTGCTTCTTATACAAACAACCAAATATTGATTTTTGGTTTGGAACATTCAGTTAATCATAATACCAAACACTGCAAGGCAGTCCATTCATTTACTTTCCCTTTTCATGAGGAAATCTGCACGAACAGAAATGCTGAATCTGAGGATTTGAGAGTATTGGAGAGTCAAAGTGGGTTGATTAATCTAGTGACTTTTAAATTATCGGAGGTTCAAGGACCTCAGATAAAACTTTTCTTATCCATTGAATTGTTGTATACCACAATGGCCTTTGGATTCAGATGATCCAGAGCTTCTTGACTCTATCTAGCTGCATGATATTTTGCCTTGAGTGACCTATTTTATGGTGTTCTTATGAAGACTAATTAATATACATAGGTAAAATACTTGGATGTGGGCTTAACACATCTTGTTCAATATGTTAGCTATAGTCACAAAAAGTATAATCTATTTTTCTTATAATCTACATTGCCGTTGCATGATTAGCTAATTATGCATGTGTGTCTCAACAATTGAGTGTTACCTTTCTAAAACAGTTACCTGAGCAGGCCTGATCCTAACATTTGAGAGACAAGAGTACAAAAGGAGTCCCACATGTTACAGATCTCAATATTTAAATACTATAAATCAAGCTAAAAAAATGTTAATTTAAATGTGTTATATCTTCCTGGCTTAACAAATATGCCTTCATAACAACGTAGAAGCCAGATTTAAATTTAGAGTACTTAAATTCCAGAACATAGCAAAGCAAGGAGACCCAGTCTTTGCTCCCCTCCCCATCCCTTTCTCTTTCTACCATGGCCTCCAGCACTTGTGTGGAGACTACAAAGTCCACAAGTCCAAGCTCCATTTACACCTCCCACCAACAGTCTTTTTTCAACCCCCACTGGGCCCAGGAGCCCCATGAGCAGTGAATTCCAAGGTCCCAGCTATGCAGAGCAAGGCTCAGAAGGAGGCAAAGAGCTCAAGGGGTCTTTGTTGCAGAGGAGCAGTGCTGTCCAGGTGCTGAGAAGTTGGAGTGCAGAGTAGCAGAGCCCTCTAATATACAGTGACCAGGACAGGGACCTGTCTTGCTAATTTAAGATTATTTTCTCTGTCCTGTTTTAAGCACAAGTGAAGAACAATTACCTCTTTTTTCTCTTCCACTTACAAGTCATCTTTCTTCACAGAAAAGTTTATAAAGAGTTATAAAAGCAACAACATGATTGTTAAGTTACCTGGACAGCCACAGACATTTCCTATTTATCATGAGAACTGCAGTAAGAATATGCACTGATCTAAGTATGATCTTTTAATATTTAGTTAATAATAACTTTATCAACCAAAGTTAATTGAACCAAGAGGCTGGTATTCATGGTGAACTAAACTCAAACATGACTGTTGGGCTTGCTGAATGTAAGATCATTCAGAAAAGAAGGCTAGACCTGTGTTGGTGCCTGATCTATTTCCATATTATACCTCTTGCTTCTGCTTCATTGTTTCTTTCAGATTATACCTTTCTAGGATTTTCTCTTACCTGAGAAAATGGGACCTTTCTTTCAAAATTCCTGCCGGTATATAAGGATCAGGCTGAAAATCCACACTCTTCCCAACATGTCACTACTGGCTCCAAGAGGAAAATGTACCTTCTGTGTGGGGCACCCACATTGCACCTTCAATGATGCACATCACAGTGAACATTAGACCATGAACCTTAAGTTAAACTCCCATGTCATAGCAAATGTTTCCTATGGGATGCAAAGAGAGGGATGAGTGGTATTCAACCCTGTTTACCCCTAAGTCCTAGGGTAATGGGCATTTCTGTTGTCTTTTTTTGGTTTGGTTTGGTTTGGTTTTGGCTTTTTAGCACCCATCACATCTCTTGTGTTTCTTTCATTGGAAAGGGGTAGTGGGCCTACTAATCAAGGCACCCCCCCTCCTATCCCATGCCCAGTGGGCTGGGTGTGGGGGAAGAACCCCAAGCATAGCAGCCAGTGGACTGTGGTCAAGCTCTGAACAAGTCATTCTTGGCTGGAGTCTGTTTCCAAAGTGCCTGATATCTAGACCTGGAACTGACTAGCTTCATCTGCTTCCAAGCTGTTTTGGGGGGTGTGTGTGTGTGTGCGCGCGTGCGTGTGTTTGGGATTCCCCATCCCCCGCCACATTCCTGGCAATTCTTTTAGCTACCTAATATCCTTCTAGTAAATTCCTTTTGCTGGAGTTAGGCAGAGTTTCTTTCATTTGCATGCAATCTAAGAGTCACTGCTGATACACTTGGCAGAGCCCCTGACACAAGAGATAATCAATGAATGTTTGTTACATAAATGAATAATTACAACCTAAATGTATATCACTGCTTATTTGTAAAATAGTGGATTTTTTAATTCTGATTCATAAAACAACACATCATTGACTAATTTTTTTTTCCAAGGCAGGGCCTCACTCTGTCGCCCAGGCTGGAGTGCAGTGGTGCGATCTTGGCTCACTGCAACCTCCACTTCATGGGCTCAGACATTCCTTCCACCTCAGCCTCCTGAGTAGCTGAAATCAGAGGCGTGCGCCACCACGCTCAGCTAACTTTTGTATTTTTTGTAGTGATGGGGTTTTGCCATGTTGCTCAGCCTGGTGTCAAACTCCTGAGCTCAAGTGATCCACCCACCTCGAGTTCCCAAAGTGGTGAGATTACAGGTGTGAGCCACCGTGCCCGGCCTACTACATTTTTTAAAATTTGGAAAAGTGTAACAAAATAAAAGCCATCCATATTTCCACCACCCAGAGATTGCCTAACTTTTTAATTTTGTTCTGTTTTTTTAAATATACCTGCATGATGTTTTCATTTCACAAAACACATATTAACAATACAATATATGTAGTAGTGCATTTTGTTTTTTTCCACTTAAAATTGTGGTGAAGTTTGTTTCACGTCATTATATAATCTTCAAAATAATTAATTTTAATACCTATATAATAGTCTGTTATCTTGGGACCTTAAATACCTTTACCAAGCTCCCAAGTTCTAGTTATATAGGTTCTTTTTAATTTTTATTACTATGAAATATATTATAATACACAATTTTACCTGCATCTACTTCCTTACCAAAGACAAAAGAAAACATAAAATAAAAAACAAGAGGAATAGTGTGTCAAATAATTTAAACTTTTAAAAGTTTTGACAACTTTCTTTTTTTTAATGGTGACAGAGTATCACTCTGTCACCAAGCCTGGAGTGCAGTAACGCGATCTCGGCTTACTGCAAACTCCACCTCTCAGGTTCAAGTGATTCTCTTGCCTCAGCCTCCCAAGAAGTTGAGATTACAGGAGTGTGCCACCACACCCAGCTATTTTTTTGTATTTTAGTAGAGATGGGGTTTTCCCATGTTGGCCAGGGTGGTCTCAAACTCCTGGCCTCAAGTGATTCACCTGCCTTGGCCTCCCAAAGTGCTGGTGTTATAGGCATGAGCCACCGTGCCTGGCAGACATTTTGATAAGTATTTTTAAACTTCTCTGTAGGAAGCTTGTATTATGTAACCCTCCCACCACAAGTAATGAAAGAGATTGTCCTTCTCACTGCATCCTTGCCAGTATTAAGTTTATTTTTTGTATTTTTTACTTTTTTAATACATAAAACACACCACCTCATTGTTATTTTAATTTGCATTTCTGTGATTAATAGTAATAACATTTATTAAACGTGTGCATTGGTCTTTTATTTTTTCCTTTTGAATTATGCATTCAGATATTTGGACAATTCTATTGGGGTGCTATTGTTTACTCACTGATTTGCAAGAGTTCCTCAGGGCTATCATGAACTGTCATGTCATGTTTGGTGTCAATATTGTTTTCCATGATTCTGTTCTGTTTAAAATGCATGCATTGCTGCATATGAGAGTTTAAAATATATTCAAATCTTTATTTTGCTTTGTGATTCTTCCCATTGATTTTATATTTAAAAAGTACTTCCCCTAAAATTAGTTAAATATTTTATTCTAGCTTTGTTTTCCACCTTGCATATAAACTTATCAATTTATGTGGAATTTCATTTGGAGGGTCATGTAAACAGAGGTTCTTAGTTGAATGCTTTCTATACACTTAGCCAATTTCCATGACGTTTTGTCAAATACTCCTCACTGTTTCATAATGCCTTCTTCGTCATATTTCTGGTTCTAAGAATGACCTAAATCTGTTTCCAGGCTCTTCTATTCCACTGAGCTATTAATCAATTCTTACACCAGTACTACATTGCTATAATGATTGTAGCCAATGATCAAATTTACTTTTGTTTCAACAATGGCGCCCATTACCACTACCACTTCCATCTACCTACCTTCACCCCCCAACCACCCACATCTACCACCCACCACCCCCATCCATACCACCTCATCCCACCACCTTCATGTATTCGTCTCCACCATCAAACTTCCCCCCACCTTTACCACCCCTAGAACTCCACTCTCCACACCACCTGTATGTACCACCACCTCCCATCTTACCACCACCACTCACCTCCCCCACCACCACTACTATTCTTTTGAAAAGTTTTCTTTTATTTTTATATGGTGATTCTTCCAGATGGATGTTAGAATCATTTTGTAAGGTTCTCCCAAATCCCAATGTAATAAAACTATATAATTGATCTGGGAAAAATAACCGTTTCATAATATTCATCTTTCTACCAAAGCATAAGGTATGTCTTTCTTTGTTTGCTCCTCAGTTTATTGGTTTGAGTAAAATTGTATAGCTTTCCACAAAGACTTTTATATATTTCTTATTATTCACGAGTATTTTATGTATGTTTCCTGTTTTTCCCACTCAATTTATATATTAGTGAATTCATGAATAGAATCATTTTCCATTCTACTTTTTAGTTAGTAAAACACTGGCATTTTGGGTGGCCATCAATTTTTGAACATGTATTTTATAACCAAAAACATTACTGAAATTTTGTACTAGTTCCTTTAGGCTTTAATTGATCCCATTGTGTATCCATCACTTTTAAACAAAATCAAGGCACACTGTCTAATTTTTGGTTACTTACATTAAAAACTTTACTTAAACATAGGCATTAAATGCTATTTTACTGTTTATTTTTAAAAATCACCCTTTTATGAGACTAATATAAAAATCTGAAATTGAAGCCACTTTAGAAATCTAAAACATAACATGTGTTCCTCTGTTGAACTACATTCATTTCCCTTGGGCACTCAGTCTTACTATTCAAAACTACAAAAAGGGCTCTGAATGAGAGACATTAAGTCACTTCTCACTTGGATTAAACAGGACAAATTTAGACAATTAAACGAAATAAAACAATTCAGGATTTTGACAGAAACACACCAGGAACTTGTCGCCTTATAAAGAGCAATTTCTCTCCTAATTTACCTCCAGAGATAATGTCCAGGATGATTTTTAAAATAAAACAGTGCCCACCTAGATATGGTGAGAAAGCAATTGCATGCTCTTCTATATATGTGCAGATACCTTTTTCCCCAGATAAGCACACATTTCCTATTTCAACAGATCAGAATAATAATACCAACAAATTATTAATTCACAAAATATTTGTTGTGCTCCTAGTAAGTGTGGGGTTCTGTGTTATTGGGAAAGATTAGAGGGTTATAGTGATGATTATGGACAGGAATTGAAGAGACACTGGCATATAACAGAAGCTCAACAAATAATTAAATGTATTATTTATTTATTATTATACATAATGATTATTATTTATTGTTTACCATTAATTTCCAGAAGACTGAAAGTCTAGCTCACCATTGTCTTCCAAGGGTGTAGCATGGCAAATATACACATGCAATAAATATTTGCAGAATATTTATTGACTGATTGATGTATTTTTACAAAAACCTCAGTTGCCAAAAAAATATTTTGACTCAATTCTTAACTTCTAGCCTAAATCAGTTCTTAAAAGATGCATTTGTTAAAGCCAAGAATACTCTCCTTTTGAAGTCAGAATAAGGTTCTAAATTGCTCTTTCTATACTAGAAAAGAAAAACCTTCTAAAAATCAGATCTTGAAGTTGGCACAGGAAAATGCTATGAGGCAGAGTATTCGTTCCTTCACTCATTCACCAAAAGTTCATTGAGCACCTTCTGCATATAAGACATAAAATAAATGGCCATTATAGAGCTTACAGACATAGCCAAACAAACAGGCATTTGCAAACTGGAATAAGTGCTGTGGAATAAAAGTGAAAGGATGATGAGAGAGTTGGGTCGGTGGGGAAGAGAGATCAAGGAAGCCCAAGGGATGAGTATGACCCAGACTGGTAAAATATAGAGGGAAGATGGTTGGGGATGTTCCAGAAACAGACAGAGGGTCAGTGTGACAGCATCAAGAGGAAGAGATGCACAAGATGAGGCTGGCCAAGTATCAGAGGCTCTAGGAGTCTCTGGAATCTGTCCCAGGTGTGTGGGTGGTATTTTATGTAGGGAACTGACATTATCCTCTCTGCTCTGGATGAAGGATTAGAAGAGCCAGGCAAGGAACCAGGGGTCTTGTTAGGAAGTTATTCTAGTGGTCCAGGTAAGAGATTATCATCTCTTGCAGTTTGATAGTGGTGGTGGTGGGGATAGAAATAATTTATCAAGATGTATTTAGAGATCTATAGAGAAAATAGCATTTATAAGACTGCATGATGGTTTTAAATGTGGAGGGTCAAGGGAAAGGAGGTGTCAAAGGTGATTCTTGGGTTTCTGGTTAAAGCAACTCGATGGATAGTGGTGCCATTTACCAGGTTAAGAAGGACTAGAAAGTTGTTAGCTTGCCTTTGTTGCTATTATTGTTTTTGTTATTTAATGCATTTTGGTTTTTTTGCATTTGTTTGGAAGGTTAGCAAGAAGGATGGAAGGCAACATCAACAAATCAACTGGGGGCACAGTATGTTTGAGATACTCTAGAAGATCCAGGTCCTGGGTTGTCTTGGCTCCCAGGTAAGTGACATGCATAAATGAGGTACTTTTGAACCCTGCTCTTCCCTACCATGGTTGTGTATATAAAGCCTCAAATAGGTTAGTTCCCTTAAATAATCTTTAAAGTATTTTCTGAATCCATGCTACTCTATCTTTACCTCTTATGCTAACATAATGTTAATGTTGTCATCAAACACAGTTCATAGGGATGTTGGTGTACTGGGCTGAAGAGTGTCTCCCAAGAATTCATGCCCATCCAGAACCTGTGAATATGACGTTTAGAAATCAGGCATTTGCAAATGTAACCTGGTTAATTTGAGGTCATATTGAATAAGGAACAGGTCCTAAATCCAATATGAATGATGTCCGTATAAGAAAAGGGAAATTTGGACACAGGGACAGAGACAGAGAGGAAGATGCCATGTGAATACAGAGGCAGAGATTGGAGTTATGCTGCCACAAACCAGGGAATGCCTGGGGCTACCAGAAGCTGGAAAAGGCAAGCAAGGATCCTCCCTTAGAGGTTTTGGAGGGTGCATGGCCCTGACAACATCTTGATTTTGGACCTCTAGCCTCCAGAACCATGAGAGAATAAATTTCTGTGGTTTTAAGCCACCCAGTTTTTGGTAACTTGTTATAACTGCCCTAGGAAACTAATATAGTTGGGAAATTTAAGGGAATTAACATGTTTGAGCCTGAATCATTATATAGGGCACATAGCATAGGTTCAGTAAATATCCATTTCCCTCTTACTCATAACAGTCACCACCATTTTCCTGGTGGTTTAAATTATGATTAATCCGTACATCTACTCATCTAGATAAGTCTTACTATTCCGAGGACTGTTCTATAAGTGAGGAAACTGAGGCTTAGGAAAGTTAAATAATTTTCCCAGAATCACAAAGCTAAACATAGAAGAGTCAGAGTTCAAACACCTGCCTCCCATACCTACAGCATTTCAGCAGGTCCTGACAGAGTGGAGAGGCACTGCCAGACTAGATTTTCAATGCTTAGATATCAATTGATTCAATGCTTAGATATCAATTTTCAATTAAACTCACATTTATTAATAAAATAACAAGCTGCAGAGACCTAGTACAATCTCTACCCACTCACAGAAGAACACTAGGTTTTTAGTCTAAGGCCAGCGTTACCAAGGAACTTGCCATTGGCTTATATTGCTTCCATTTAGCAGTGCATCTGCCTTGCACATATGTATTCCAAGTCAAGGTATTATCAGATTGGACATTTATGGCTTTAATTTACTTAAATGCATTTTCCTTATGTATTCCCCCACTTCATTTTGATGATACTGACTCATTCTCGCCACCTAACAAGACTATAAAAATAAATAGTGTGAGTGCAGAGGAAACTGTCTCCAAACTTCATATGCTAAGATGCCCATCCTTTAAATTATAAAGCAAAAAATAAACCCATGCTTTAAATTTACCTTTCTCCCTAACTAACCTGGTTATCTTTCTCCCCAAGATTGAGTTGTTGTGCTGTTGAATATAACAGATACACAAATCTAAGGTGGCACAGCTGTTATTATAAGGTGTCAATTTCATAGAATTCTAGTGTAGGAGGGACTTCTAAAAAGCATCTTGTCCATCTATATCAGGTAAGAGAAAGAGTGTCTACAGCCTCCAAGCCCCAGAAGAGAAGCGGTTGCACTAGAAGATTTTTGTGAGTTACCTAAGACCCTGTGGCTATGTCTTGGTAGAACTCCGTAGAATGCCAGGTTTCCTGATTTTCCTAAAAGTGTGTTCAGTCTTTCAAGCTGTCATCAACTATTAACAATGACACTTTCCTCTGGCTTTGTGCCAACTTTTCTTTTTGTTTATTATTCTGGCCATAAAAAGACCACCATAAATAGCCTCAGCGTTTCAGGTTCCCTTAATTGATATCTAATGTTGACAAATTAACTCAGCCCGAGTTGAAAGCTCCATATACACACACATGGTTTCAAGAAGGGCGATCGCGCTTATCCTCCAAACTGAGCAGTGATGATCCCTGGACTTCTCAAGTTTACCCTCTAGGAGGCTGACATGGCACACAATTTTGACAAGAGTTTGGAACCAAGATCCTCTTCCACGCCCTGCTCACAAGGGTGCCCACAAGCAGAAGTTCTCTCTCTGTCTCTCCATTACAACCCACCAGGCGCGCGCGCACACACACACGCGCGCACACACACACACACACAAATAACAAAGGAAAACACAGCCTCATAAAGGCTCAGCTATTGCATCCTCCAGTCCACACCTGCCAAAAGACAAAAACCATGCGGGAATCCTGCTCTGGCAATATGTCCAACACTTCTCGGGAAAAGCAGCGCCGTGGCACCCCCAGGGCGTGCGCTGCTGTATACACACAAAGAACTGGTGCTGGGCTTGCGAGCAGTTCGGGGTACCAGCACGCTCTCAGGGCTGGAATCCGGGGTTCTCCTCCACGCCCTCCCGCCCAGCAAAATGGAACCATCCTTTATTTGGTTGGTAGAGAGCCCAGGCTGGATAGTAGCGCATGGGTTGAGGGTGGGCGGTCCCCTATCCCTACCCTCCAGGCAGCAGGTCCCTAGCCTTTGCATCTCCTAGGAGATGCAGGATCGCGCTGTCACAGTGGTCCTCTTCGCATCCTCTCCCGGCAAAGAGAGATGCTCCGGTTACCAGCGGCGCGCATCCCCGCAGGCGCCTCTCCTCTCGCCGATACCCACCCAGGCAGTCCCGACAGGCGCGCCTGCCTACCTGGTGGCCGGCTGTCAGCGAAGCGGCGGTGCCTCAGCCCCTTCTCAGCTGCTACAGCGCTCCCAGCGCCATGTTCCCGGTCTCCCCGGGCGCACGCTGGGGAACTACTACTGGCTGGGTAGGGGCAAGGGGGGCGGGGGCCAGCGGGAGGGGGTGAGAGGCAGAGCCACAGCTTTCTACTCTCCACCCAAACCTCCCCCAGCTACTGAGCATGCCCAGCTGCCCGGCTTCGCCCCTCGGAGGACTGTCCATGAGCGTACGCAGCTGCTCCGGGTTTTCGTGGCAGCCGGCGGGAGGCAGGCTGTAGCGGCGGCCGGGGGTGGAGGTGAGGGGGAGGGTCGGGGGGCGTGTCTACACTCAGGGTGCAGGAGCCAGGAGCCGGGAGCTGGAGCAGGCGACCAATCCAATCACGTTTACTCCCAGTCGTCCCCGGCGGGGGCAGCTCCTGCACGCCCTCTCCCCCAACACTCGGGATTTGCAGAAATGTTGTTCAGGACCATTGCAGGATTGAGTTTTGCTTAAGAGGCTAGCAGAGGTGGGGAGGAGGAGGGGCTGAGAAGCAGAACAGTGGGCTGGCCTCTTTGCCACCACCTGGACCGGTGATTCTCAAACTTTCATGTGCCTGTGAATTAAAATGCAGATTCAGATTCAATTGGCTGGGTCCTGAGATTCTGCAAGCCTAACAACCTCGCAGGTGATGCTGCTGCTGCTGGCCCTCCCACCACTCCGAGTAGCAAACATCTAGAGAACCCCTTATCTGTGACCTCTCAGTGGCCATCCTTCAATCCGCCAGCCTAGCAATGGTCTCTGGTGTCCACAGAGACTCCTCCAGCCTGGGGTTGCTGAGCCTTACCTGGAAGGAGTGTTTGTGGGGCTAGGCTGTGACCACCCAGCTTCTCCTTGGCTGCTGTCTGATTTCGAATTTAAGGCCCAGGGGAAGAAGGATTCCTGGACCTTTTCATGCTCACTTTGCTAGCTGGCTAGTAAGCCAGTTGCTGGATGAGCTGCCCCGGTCAAGTCTGAACCAGTCTGCCTTGGCTGTCCCCTTGCCTTTCCTGAGCTGGGACAAAAACTCAGACTGGGCATCAAAGTGTTTATTGTACATCTAATAGCAAGCTTGGGCTTGCCTAGTTAAGAAAGCCGACAGATTATGACAAACATAGAGCGCATTTTTGTACCAAGAGATGTCAGGCCTTTGTGTTCAGTGATGTTTGGGCTGAAGTTTGCAACGATATTTGTGGTTCAACTTAAACTTCCCAGTTGCCTACTGCCCTCCCAGACTCTTGAAGTCTCCAGCATTATCAAGACTCTAGTGAATGAAAGACATTCACGAAGTAGTCCTGAGTTTTCACCCTTGGAAATGAAGAAGCCACGCTCTTGTCTGTCTTCAGCTGCCACAAGAGTACCCTTATGAGCTAGTAGTGGATATGGAATCTGATCCCATAACTAGATAGCAGGTTACAAAATAAGGATTTGTATCTCTCCGTTCCTTATTATACTCAATGACCTTAGACAGTTTTCTAGCTAATAGTATAGTAGTTATCATTTCCCCTTGCTTGTTTTCCATTCACTTAGTACCTTTAATATTGTACTGGCCATATCAAAACAGAAACCACAGGATAAATGGATGATTACTTTTCTCCCTCAGTAGTCCCATGTCCTTGTGTATCATACTCATCTCTTCCTTCTCAAAGCTGCACACAGCCCTAACAACCTACCCACTGCCACCATCGTCACCCCCACAACTATATGCATAAATATTTTCTACTTTTGACTTTCTTATATGTGTGCTCACATAGATGCAAAAGCCAGAACATATTTTTACTGAGATATCGTTTATTTGTCATTGGTTAGTATCAGTTAAAATTTTTATTTGAAATATTGAACTTTAATCACTTAAAATAGCCTTCCTGTTATACATAAAGTTTGTGTTTGTACATTTGTTTCTGCTAGTTAAATATGATGATGATTGTTAGCTGCCTCAAATTTATTTTGGAAGCGTGCAAGGTAAAAATTATAGATGAATAATAATGCTATTTCTGTAAATACTGCATTGCATGAATTCCTAAGGGTTTTCTTTATATGTAATGCCATTTCTTGAGGGTTTAGCCTGCAGTATTTGACTAAGGACCAACATCTGTGGGTGGGAGGGATACAGGAAGCAGGAGCAGGCAGAGGTAGAAGCTAAGCTGTGATGCAAGCCAATTGCAGCCTTTGTCAGCCCCTTATGGAGCTCACTAGCTAGGGTGATCCTTCAGAATGACCATGAGTTGGTCTGAGATAGTCAGTCCTTTACATCCACATCAATCATTGAGCATGGGCTGTTCCTAGGAGGGGCACGAACTTAAGACAGGCAGCTCTGGCAATTCTTACAGGTAACAACAGCTAAAGGCCTCTGTCAGCTGTAGTCCCTGTGGCTGCAGTAACAAATCCTTCACTTAAGGGGAATTTAGGCAAAACATTCCTTTGTCCACCACATTGATGTATTTATTGAATACAGCACTTTTGAACACACAAAGTAGAACTCTACTGATTTGTCAGACAGATTTTAAAACTTTATTTTTGAATAAGTAATAGACTTTCTCTCTGGCTCAAAGATTTAAAAGTTGGAAAATAACCTGTAATCAGCCATTGAGAGTATACTATCTATTTAGGTATCTGGCTGTATGCATTTTTTATATGACTAGTTTAATTATGATTTATTGAGCAGGCATGTATTTATTGTCTACCATTTAAGACATAATTTTCTCTGTCAAAATCTGTATTTGTAATTTGTAATGGGGTAGGAATAAGTGTTTGATAGTAAATAGAAGTGTGTTTTTCAATAAAACAGAGCTACTGACTAGTCAAGATTTCATGAGAAACTAATGTCAACCAACCTTGTTGACACCAAAAACTGTGACAAGATGAACCTGAGGGGTGGAGAACTTGGTAGATTGGCTGACAGGGATGTGTAAGACAGCATGCTGGAACCCAGGTTCAGACTACCCAGCTCATTCTCTTTACCTTCTCCAGGCTATGCATCTACAAATGGCTGGAATTCTTGAAAGATGAACCGCAACCATAAGGGAACCAGCATAGATTCTAGAAATGAAGCAGGACATTTGCTCAGATAGTGGAGGTAGGGAAAGAATAGGAGGTGGAAAAGAATGTTCCAAGGAACATAAACAAAAGCATATAAAGAATAGGTCTCTAAAGAATTCCCCCAAGGAAACAGAAAAAAAAGTTCGGACAAATATTTTTTCCCGAGTTTCAATGGAATGAAAGGCAATATAATCTGAATAATGTTTTTTAAAAGCACCATAAAGAAATATAAGGATTTAAAGACAGACAATAAGACTAAAATGAAAGATAAACTAGCAGAGTTCAGGGAAAAATAAAAGCCATTAAACCACTCAAAAGGTAAGAGACTAAGGGCCAGGCGTGGTGGCTCACGCCTATAATCTCAGCACTTTGGGAGGCCAAGGTGGGCGGATCACTGAGGTCAGGAGTTCAAGACCAGCTTGGCCAACATGGTGAAACCCATTTCTACTACAAATACAAAAAAATTAGCCGGGCGTGGTGGTGGGCGCCTGTAATCCCAGCTACTCAGAAGGCTGAGGCAGAAGAATCACTTGAACCCGGGAGGCAAAGGTTGCAGCCGAGATTGCACCACTGCACTCCAGCCTGGGCGCAACAGAGGGAGACTCCGTCTTACAAAAAAAAAAAAAAAAAAAAGAAAGAAAGAAGGAAAGAAAGAAAGAGAGAATAGGAAAAAAAAACAGACTAACCACTGAAAACACAGTGATAAATAGACAAGTACTTAGCTACTAACAAATAAGTATAAAACAAATCATAGACCATTTTTATGAAATACAAACAAAGGAGATCCAACACATGTACAACCAGTAACATGCAGGAGCTGGCTTGCACCAGCTTGCAAGAGCTGATTGGGCATACGTACTGCTTCCTAACTCCATTTTCAGTAACAGCTTGAAATCAGCCACTGTGGAAGTATTTACCCCACACAAATGGACAAATGCTACAAATCAGGGTTTTGTTTGTTTGTTTGTTTTCAGACAACTGGTTATTACATATCTACCAGAATACCACTTTTTACAACCTTTGCTGTTAAAAAAAAAAAGAATAAAATGGAAGAGAAAAAAATAATCAAAGATGTAATAGAAACACAAAAGTTAGTTTCCTGAAATAGAGAGTGTTAGATCAGCAGAACAAAAGAACACAATTGTCTCAGGGGAAAAAAAAGAATCAACCTGGAACAATTAACCCTAAAATATATCCTACTGAAGTTACAGAACTTCAAAGACAAATAATGTTCTGAATATCCAGACAGAAAAGGCAATTTACATATAAGAAAAAGAAAGTCAGTGTGCATTTAGATTTCTTCACTCTCATCAAGCAATGCCTGAGGGTGTTCTGAGGGAAAGAAAGGGTGACCTAAGAATGTTTATTTTCCTACACTGGTGTTCTTCAGATTTTCAAGGCAACAGTCAATTGTTCTCAAATGCAATAAATCAGTATACACAGCAGAAAAAAACCTTTATAATATTCTACTTCATTATCAAATTTATACAACTAAGAGATAAATTTAAAACATAAATCTCATGAACGATGAAGCTGTGGTCAAATGTGATAATGATAATCATATTTATTTTAAAATAAATCTAAGACTAAACCACTGGTGTTTGGCAGTTTTAAATCAGAACATAAATATAAACCTTGACAATGTCAGTATCATTGGATAACTTACTAAAATCTGAAGGTAGAAAGAAGGGAGTTGTAAGGAGGTTTAAGTATAATGATTTCCTCAGCAAGTGGTCAATGTATATTATTAAAGTTGCCGCAGATAGATAGAAAACCCCACCTCTGATCTCATCATGCTTTTTTCTTACCTTTAAGGGAATATGTTTCAAACTTATCTCTCTATATGAAAAAAAACCGTTTTCTGAAGTTGAGAGATTACTGCAGGCACATTTTAGCTTCTTTTCTTATTTAATTTTAATAAGATTAAATACAATTTAGTTTTAAAGTAGCTTCTGTGCTATCATCCACATATGGATGATACTTGAAAAAGTATATCTGTCAACTTATCCTACTTGTTATAACCTTATATTTTTATCTCTTTCTATACAGGAAGATTTATGGAATATTATAAACCAAGGGATTTTTTTGATGAAAAGATTTTGGGTTGATTGTTTACTTCTCTGTATTCCTTAAAATTGCTTGAAATTTTAGACAATAAATGCATGTGTTTTAAAAAGAAGCCATTATTCTCTTCAAAATATCCCAAAATATTATTCTCTTTTAAACATATTAAAATTTTACAGAAAGCTGGGTGCAGGGATACACACCTATAGTCCCATCTACCCAGGAGACTGAGGTGGGAGGATCACTTAAACCCATGAGTTCAGTGCCAGCCTGAAAAACAAAGACCTTGTTCCTAAAAATAATTTTTTAATTAAAAAAAAGCCTTACAGAGTATGAAAATGGAATGAAAACAGATAACTAAAATAAGTCTGGATTAAAATTATTCGTTTAGACAAAAATGAAGAGAAGACACAAATCACCAGCATTGGGAATAAAATAGGTACTGAAACTGCAGATCTCGAAGTCATTAAAAGGATAATTTAAGTAAATATTTGGAAAAACTTTGTGTTCATAAATTCAACCACTTACAGTAAATAAACAATTTCTGAAAACCACACACTAACAAAAACTCAAGTAAGATGAAATACGTAAGCTGAATAGTCCTGGAACCACTGATGAAAATGGAATACATAACTTAAAAAGCTCCCCAAAATGAAATATCCAGAGACTTAAACTTGAAAAATAACCTGTAATCAGCAATTGAGAGTATGTTATCTATTTAGGTATCTGGCTATAAACTTTTTTTAATATGAAGTGTTTAATTATAATTTAGTGAGAGTGTTTTACTGGAGAAGTCTACTGGAAGAAGAATTAATGTCATTTTTTCACAATTTTCTTAAGAAAACAGAAGAGAACACTTCCCAAATCATTTGATGAAACAACTCTTACCCTGATAACAAAACCAAACAAATTCAGTAGGAAAGAAAACAAAACTATAAACAAATATTTTCTGCTTCCCAGCTTCAAGCGATTCTCTTGCTTCAGCCTCCCGAGTAGCTGGGATTACAGACATGTGCTACCACTTAGATGCAAAAATCCTGAAAAAAAAGATACCAAACTGAGTCTTACAATGTATAAAAGTAATTATACTTTGTCAAGTGGTGCTTCTCTCCAGAATGGAGGGCAGATTTAATATGGAAAAATAATGTAATTCACCATAATAAAAAATGAAAAAGAAAAAAGTAATATGATCACATCAATTGATGCAGAAAAAAATTTGACAAAACCCAACACATGTTTATGAATAAAAACTTTCAGCAAGTTAGGACTAGAGGGGAATTACCTCAACTTGATAAAAAGCAACTACAAAAAACCTCTGACTAACATCAAACTTACAGGTGAAAAGATTGAATGCTTTCCCCCTAAGAGGCAGAACAAGGCAAGCCTGACTATTCTTACCAATCTTACTCAATATAGTAATGGAAATTCTAGCTGAATTCTAGCTCACTGAAATGAGGCAAGAAAAATAACTGTCTCTATTTGCAGATGACATGATTGTCTAGGAATCAAATGCCAAAGAATCTAACAAATAACTCTTAGAAATAATAAATGAGTTCTGCAAATTTGCAGCATACAAGATCAACACACACGCAAAATTTTATTCTGTGTACTAATCATGAACATACAGAAAATAAAATTTAAAACACAATGCCGTTTACAATTGCTCCAAAGAAAATGAAATACTTAGGTTTAAACTTAACAAAATATATACAGTATCTGTATGCTGACAATGACGATTACAAAATACAAATGAAATAAGTCAAAGTAGACCTAAGTAAATGGAGAGGCATACTATATTCATAGATTAGAAGACTCAGCATAGCAAAGGTATCAATTTTCCCTAAATTGATCTATATAATCACTGAAATTTCTATAAAATAGTCAGTATATTTTTTATAGATATAGACAAGTTTATTCTAAAATTTATATGGAAAGGTATGGGTCTAGAATAGCTAAACAATTTGTTCAAGAAGAATAAGGTGGGAGGAATTGCCCTATCCAAACATTAAGATTTACTCTATAGCTGCAGTAATCATGACAGCATAGTATTAGCAGAGTGCTAGACACATAGATCAATGGAATTGAATAGAGAACCCAGAAATAGACCAATATAAATATGAACAACCAATTTTTGACAAAAGTGAAAAAACAATTTCTTGGAGTAAGATAGATTTTCAGCAAATGGTGCTACAACAATTGAACATATATAGGCAAAAACACACACACACAAGAAAAAAACAAACAAAAAACATAACTTCCTCACAGCTAAAATCAATGGTGAAAGACTGAAAGCTTTTCCTCTAAGATCAGGACAAAGACAAAAATGCCCACGTTTACCACTGCTATTCTATATAGTATTGGAAGTGCTAGCCAGAGAAATCAGACAAAAATAAAAATAAAAATAAAAAAGAAGAAACATCCAAATTTGAAAATAAGAATCAAAATTACCTTTGTTTGCAGATGACATGATCTCTGTAGAAAACCCTAACAAGTCCATACACACACACACACATACACACCTGTTAGAACTAATATTAAATTCAACCCGATTGCAGGATACAATATAAACACACAAAAATCAGTTGCATTTCTATATAGTAGCACTGAACAATCTCAAAAGGAAATTAGGAAAACAATTTTATTTACAATGGCATTAAAAAGAATACAATGCTTAGAAATTAACTTCACCAAAGAGGTGAAAGACTTGTACACTGAAAATAACAAAACACTTTTTTTTTTCTTTTTTTTTTTTGAGACCAGAGTCTCCCTCTATTGCCTAGGCTGGAGTGCAGTGGCACCGTCTCTACTCACTGCAACTTCCGCCTCCCAAGTTCAAGCAATTCTCTTGCTTCAGCCTCCCAAGTAGCTGGGATTACAGGCGTGTGCTACCACACCCTGCTAATCTGTGTGTGTGTGTGTGTGTGTGTGTGTGTGTGTGTGTGTGTGTTTTAGTAGAGACGGGGTTTCACCATGTTGGCCAGACTGGTATGGAACTCCTGTCCTCAGGTGATCCACCCGCCTCGGCCTCCCAAAGTGCTAGGATTACAGGCGTGAGCCACCATGCCTGGCTCAAAATACTTCTTAACAAATTAAAGCAGACTGATACGGTTTGGATTTGTGTTCCCACCCAAATCTCATGTCGAATTAAAATCCCCGGTGTTAGAGGAGGGGCCTGGTAGGAGGTGACTGGATTATGGGAGTGGATTTCCCTCTTGTTCTTCTCATGATAGTGAGTGAAATCTGTTTTTTTGTTTTGTTTTGTTTTTGTTTTTTATAAGTGTGTAGCACCTCCCCATTCACTCCGTTCCTTCTGCTCTGGTCGTGTAAGATGTGCCTCCTTCCTCTTTGCCTTCCACCATGATTGTAAGTTTCCTGAGGCCTCCCCAGCCATGCTTCCTATACAGCCTGTGGAATTATGAGCCAATTAAACCTCTTTTTTAAATAAATTACCCAGTCTCAGGTAATTATTTATAGCACTGCAAGAATGGACTAATACACAGACATAAATAAATAGAAAGACATCCCATGTTCATAGATTGGAAGACCTAATATTGTTAAGATATCAATACTACCTAAAGCAGTCCACAGATTCCATGCAATCCCTAGCAAAATCCAAATGTTTTTGCAGCAGAAGAAAGATCTATCCTAAAATTTATATGGAATCTCAAGCGACTTGGAATAGCCAAAACAACCTTGAAAAAGAAGAACAAAGTTAAAGACTAACTTTTTTATTTCGAAGCTCTCTACAAAGCAACAATAATCAAAAGAGTATGGTATTGGCATTAAATCACAGACTGATGAAATAGAATAGAGATCCCAGAAATAAACCCTTGCATATTGTCAAATGATTCTTGACAAAGTTGCCAAGACCATTCAGGATGGGGAAAGAACAGTCTTTTTAACAAATGGCACTGGGAAAACTGAGCATCCACTTGCAAAAAGTGAAGATGGGCCCTTTGTTACCTAACATCATATACAGAAATTAGCTACATTTTTACCAAAGATGTAAACATAAGTGCCAAAACCATTAAACTCTTAGAAGAAAACATAAAGGAAAACCTACACAACATTGGATTTAGCAGTAATTTCTAACATGACACCAAAAGTATAGGATAAAAAAGAAAAATTAGATAAGTTGGACTACATAAGATTTAAAACTTCTGTGCAAAAGACACAATCAGACACAATCAACAGACTGAAAAGGCATCCCATAGTATGGAAAAAAATATTTGTAAATCATATATCTGGTAAGGAATCAATATCCAGAAGATAGAAAGAACTCCTAAAACTCAACAACAATTAAAAACTCTTTAACATAAAATAGGCAAATAACTTGTATGACATTTCTCCAAAGAAGACATAAAATAAGCACATGATATGAAGCTTAACGTCACTAATCAGAGAAATGCAAGTCAAAACCACAAATACCATCTCTCACTTATTAGCATGGCTAGTTAAAAAACACAGAAAATAGCAGATGTTGGCAAGGATGTGGAGAAATTAGAACCCTTGTGAACTGCTGGTGAGAATGTAGAATGGTACAGCTTCTATAGAAAACACTATTACAGTTTTTAAAAAATAAACATAGAATTAACATAGAATCTAACAATTCCACTTCTGGGTATACACCCAAAAGAACTGAAAGCAAGGACTTGAACAAATATTTGTACCTCAATGTTTATTGCAGCATTATTTGCAATAGCCAAAAGATGGAAACAACCCAACCATCAACAGATGAATGAAAAACAAAATGTGGTATACACATGGAAGGGGATATTTTTCATCCTTGAAAAGAATGGAATTCTGATACATGTGACAAAATGGATAAACCTTGAAGCCATGATGCTAAGTGAGCTAAACACAGAAGGATAAATATTGTATAATTCCACTTAGATGAGGTGTCTAGAATAGTCAAATTCATAGATACAAGAAGTAGACTAGTGGCTACCAGAGGCTAGGGAAAGGGAGGAATGCCGAGTTATTGCTTAATAGATACAGAGTTTCAGTTTGAAATGGTTAAAAAGTTGTGGTGATGGATAGTGGTCATGGTTGCAAAAGAAGGGGAGTGTACTTAATGCCATTAAACTGTACCCTTAAAAACGGTTACAATGTTAAATTTTATGTTATGAATATTTTGCTATAATAAAAACAAATCTTCAACCTAAACCTCATACCTTACACAAAAATTAACTCAAAATGGGCTTAGATGTAAAACATAACACTCTTAAAAAATAGCAGAAAATCTTCAAGATCTAAGTCTCGGAAAGAGTTCTTAGACCTGACACCAAAACCATGATCTATAAAAATTAAGATTGATAAATTAGACCTCATCAAAATTAAAAACATATTCTCTGTGAAAGACCATGTGAAGAGGATGAACAAACAAGGTACAAACTGGAAGAAAATACTTTCAAACTACCTATCCGACATACGGGGTATATAAAGAACTCTCAAAACTCAACAGAAAAAGAAATCTAAATGGAAAACGGTTAAGAGACAAGAGCAGACATTTCACCAAAGAGAATATACAGATGGCAAATAGGCACACAAAAGGATGTTCAATGTCATTAAACATTAGGGAAACTCAAATTGAAACCACAATGAGATGTCACTAGACACCTATCAGACTGGCTGAAATAGAAAATAGTGACAACACCAAATGCTGGTGAGGATGCAGAGAAACTATATAAATCATTCGTTGATAGTGGGAATGTAAAATGGTACAGCTACTCTGAAAAACACTTTGGTAGTTTCTTACAAAACTAAATATATTGTTATCATATCATCCAGCAATTACATTTCTGGGCATTGTTATGGGGTGAATACTTGCATCCCCCTAAAATTCATATATTGAAATCCTACATGCCAGTTTGATGGTATTAGGAGATGGGGTCTTTGGGAAATAATTAAGATTAGATGAGGTCATGAAGGTGAAGAAAGAATTTGTGTCCTTATGTAAGTGCCGAGAGAGAGAGCTGCTTTCCCTTTCCTCCATGTGAGATTCCAGAGAGAAGACCACTGTACTTAGACCCTCACCAGACACTGAATCTGCTGGTGCTTTCATCTAGGACTTGCCAGACTCCAGAACTGTGAGAAATAAATGTATGTTGTTTGTATCTTTTGTTATAAGTTTGTGGTCTTTTGTTATAATAGCCTGAATGAACTAAGACAGACACTCCTCTCAGAGAAGTGAAAACTGAAAACTCACTTTCACACAGAAACATGAACAAGAATTGTCATAGCAGCTTTATTTGTTATAGCCAAAAATTGGAGACAGCCTACATATCCTTCAATAGGTAAATAGTTAAATAAAATGTGGTACATATTAATACATACCATGAAATAGTACTCAGCAATAAAAAGAAGTGATTGATTTGTGCCACATCATGGATTATAAATCTGCAGGGAATTATGCTTAGTGAACAATACCCTAAAAGGTTATATACTATCTATATAACATTTTTGAAAAGACAAAATTTTATGAATGTAGAACAGACTGGTAGTTGTCGGGGTTAAGGAGGGAATGAGAGGTGCAGGAGGAAGGTGGATGTTGTTATAAAATAGCGACAGGAGGTATCTTGTGGTGATAGAACTAAGTCTTGACTGTGATGGTGACTGTATGAACTACACATGGGTTGTAATTATATAACTACACAGAGAGAGAGAGAAACACATACCTACATACATATACATATACATATACATAAAATACATATGCATATATAAAAATAGCCGGGTGTGGTGGTGCGCACCTGTACATATGTGTATATGTATGTGTGTGTATGTGTGTGTGTATATATGTATGTGTGTGTATGTGTGTGTGTATATATGTATTTATGTATTATGTATTTCTCTCTCTGTGTGTAGTTAATTATATATATGTGTGTGTGTATATATACATATATGTTATATATATAGATCTATACATATATATGTAATATATATTTTATATATAGAGAGAGAGAGAGACAGAGAGAGAGAAATGAGTACAAGCAAAACCAGAGATATCTAAGTAAGATTACTGAATTGCATCAATGTCAAGATCCTGGTTGTGATAGTGTACTATAGTTTTGCAAGATGCTGGGGAAAGCTAGATTAAGAATACACTGCTCTTTCTTCAAGATCCTGGTTGTGATAGTGTACTATAGTTTTGCAAGATGTTGGGGAAAGCTAGATTAAGAATACACTGCTCTTTCTGCATTTCTTACAACTACATGGGAATCTACAATTATCTCAAAAAGAATTTCAATTACAAAGTAATTCATGGCCAGGTGCAGTGGCTCACGCCTGTAATCCCAACACTTTGGGAGGCCGAGGTGGGTGGATCTCTTGAGGCCAGGAGTTTGAGACCAGCCTGGCCAACATGGTGAAACCCTGTCTCTACTAAAAATACAAAAATTAGCCAGGCATGGTGGTGGGCCCCTGTAATCCCAGCTATTCAGGAGGCTAATGCAGGAGAATCTCTTGAAGCCGGGAGGCAGAGGTTGCTGTGAGCCAAGATCACACCACTGCACTCCAGTCTGGGCAACAGGCTCAATAAAATAAAATAAAATAAAATAAAAAATAAAAATAAAAATAAAAAAATTAGCCAGGGGTGGTGGCGCATGCCTGTAATCCCAGCTACTTGTGTGGCTGAGGCACAAGAATTACTTGAACCTAGAAGGTGGAGGTTGCAGTGAGCCGAGATCATCCTGGGCAATAGAGCAAAACTCTGTCTCAAAACAAACAAACACAAGTAATTCATATATCCTTAACTTACCTTACCAACATTTACTGAGCACTTCCTATGTCAATGCTGTCCCACAGAACTTTCTGTGACAATGGAAATGTTCTATATATTCATTGGATAATACAGTAGCCACTAGCCATGTGTGGCTACTAAGCACTTGAAATGTAACTAGTGTGACTGAGAAACTGAATTTTTAATTTTATTTAATTTAAGTCTAAATAGCCACATGTAGCTAATGGCCACCATGTTGGGCAGCACAGTCCTATAAGTCAATTACTAAGATAGGTATTGGCAACCCTAAAATGAACATAGCCTTCCGGAAACTAAAAGTCTATTTAAAGGAGGCTAATAAACATATCAATATTATAAACCATATGCCAGAGTAGGATTGCTCATATTTATTTTATGTCTCAAAGATGAGACACCTGACCTAGCTGGAGTTAAAGGTGTGAGAAAATCCTTGCAAAATGAAATATCCTGAGCTGAGTCTTCCAGGCAGTTAATGTAAGCCAGGTGAGTTAAAGCCTCTTGACTTTGGTGATTTGGGAGAAATACTGTCCCAGGTACAGGAAACAGGATTTATAAAGGCACATGGACATGAAAGGACATTCAGGAAAGGCAAGTTTTTGGTAAGCCAGGGCAGAGTCAATGAGTATAGAGAGATAGGGAGGGGCTGGATGGTGAACGCCTCAGATGCCGTGCCTTAGCACTTCAATTTCATCATGAAGATTATAGACAACATCGAAGTGTTTTAAGAACAACATAAGTAGGTTGACATCTTTAAAATATCACTTGCAGGCTGGGCACAGTGGCTCAAATCTGTAATCCTAGCACTGTGGGAGACTGAGGAACGGGAATTGCTTGAGCCCAGTAGTTCAAGGCCAACCTGGGCAATGTGGCCAGAGCCTGTCTACAAAAATTTTTTAGAAAGACATTAGCTGGGTGTGGTGGGGTGCGGCTATAATCCCAGGTACTTGGGCAGCTGAGGCCAGAGTAGCTTGAGCCCAGGAATTTGAGGTTGCAGTGAGCTATGATCATGCCACTGTTCTCCAGCCTAGGCAAGAGAGCAAGGTCCTGTCTCAAAAATAAATAAAATAAAATAAAATAAAATAAAATAAAATAAAATAAAATAAAATAAAATAAAATAAAATAAAATACCACTTGCCTCTCAATGGATTAGATACAGCAAGACTCCAGTTAGGGAGCTACAGGTGTAGCTTCTGAGAAGAATACCTAACGGCTCAAATAAGGCAGTGGAAGTTGGAGTGGGAAGAAGGGAATAGATTTAATAAACATTAAAGAGGTAGAATCAGGAAGATATATCCAAATGGATGTAGATGATAGGGTCACAAGTAATATACTTGGAGATAGCTTCCAAGCATTTGACTGGGATAGCTGCTAGATGGTGGTGCTGTAGGGGCAGAGACAGTTAATGAAAGAGAAAGAGTGGGTTTGGAGTAGAATATGTAGGACTTTACTTTTTTAACATGTTGAGATTGAGTGGCCTGAGAAACGCCCAAAGTCTCAGACCAGTCAAGGAGGCATTAAGAAGCACAAATCTGGGGCCAGGCAAGGAAGTGTGGAAGACATGCTAGTGTGGGTGCTACCTGAAACCATACATAGAGTTAAGATTGCCCAGGAAAACTGCATCAAATGAGAATGGCCCAAGAATGTAACTCAAGCAAGCACCAACATGAAAGGAGTGGGTGGAGGAAGAAGTGACCATAAGGACACTGAGAAAGAGCTGAGAGAGGGGACATGAAGAAAACCAGGAGCAGCCTAGAGAAGGCCAGTGGGTCAGCTGCTGTCCTGAGCAGGGAAGAGTCAGTCCACTTTCACAAATACTCATACAGTTCTCCTTTTCTTTCTAGCCTGAGAGATAGCAAAATTAAAACATTTTGAGGCGAGGTATGGTGGCTCATGCGTGTAGTCCTAACTACGAGGGAGGCTTAGGTGGGAGGATCTCTTGAAGCCAGGAGTTCCAGACCAGCTTGGGGAACCCTGTCTCTACAAAACAAAAATTTTTAAAAAATAGCCAGGTGTGGTGGTGCTCACCTGTAGTCCCAGCTACTCAGGAGGCTGAGGTGGGAGGATCTCTTGAGCCCAGGTATTCAAGGCTGCAGTGAGCCATGATGGTGCCACTGTGCTCCAGCTTGGGGACATAGTGAGACCCTGTCTCTTAAACACACACACATACACACAATATTTTGGTATCAGCACATGAAATTGGCAGACATCAGTAGAACAGAGGAGTCTAGAAATAAACCCAAATACGTTTGAGAATTTCGTTTATAATAAAGGTGGCTTTATAAATCAGTGAAGAAAAAAATATATTTGTATGGGTTAAAGATTATAGCTAAAGTTCTGTAGAATTGAGCTTAAGTACCTGTGGCCTTAAGCAACAGTAAATTACTTTATCCCATTTGGTGAGCTCTATCCTCTTTCTGAAAGGGAAATAAACCCATGTAACTTTAAGGCCATGGACTTCAGTGGGAGTCAGTAAAATCTCCGGATGAAATCCCCTTGAACGATTTGGGTCAAACTTCACTCCGGAACAAGGTTAGGAATTCTGAATGAGATTGCCAGATATTGAAAAATTTTAAACATTCACTGCTTACATATCATAGCTCAGAAATATCACAGCTCAGAAAGTACATGTTGTGCCAGACAAGCAATTAAGAGCTTTTGTTGTGTAAGTTGTTAATACACAAGTGTACTTCATAGCTTCTAACCTGCTAAAATCCCAGCATGCTGAGGAATATCAGTACTAGACATTTTTTTCTCTAAGAAGAAAAACATCATCATCAACACTGCCATGTAAAGGCTGTCCCCTAATGTGTCTCCAAACCATGGTTTAATTTTGAGTAGAAGGGTAGAAAATAAAGTACAACCTCATCTACCAATGGTGTATCCAGAGTATCTTCATCATTGTCCCTAGGCCATGCTCAGTTGATGAAAAATTAAGACTCACTTGTCATTTAGTAAAGCTGTCATCATCAAGAACAGCATGGATTCATGTGGAGGGTTTGTAGGGCACCACTCTTTGTTTTGCACAGGTGTAGTGATTTTAAGAGAATCAGAGAGTTGATGGGAGATTTGAAGAAGGTATCACATACTCACATTAAAAAAAAAAAACAGGCTCTCTGCCCATTAAATTCATCCTATTCTCATTTTAACTTGTTTTTCTTTTAAAGCACATCCTCACTGATGCCACCTAAAGCCTTAGTTGCCTCTTGGAGGGGAATGTAAAAGGCTCCCCTTTTTCTGGAAAACCCAACTCAATCTTATGAAGATCCATCAGAATCTTATGAAGATCTAAGAAGGATTTATTCAGAAGAGACAGATGAGAGAGTATTGCGCTTTCTTTTCAGTATCTGGTGTTGGGAGGTAAAGCAAAAGCTATTGCCAGGATGAAAAGCCAGGACTGTATGGCCATCTATGCCAGGTAGAATATAGCAGGGAGACTATTTTTACCATGACAGGGACAAACTTTTATTTTTGTAAGATGGGCCACAAACATAACATTGGAAATGTTTCTAAGGATAATAAGGACAGTCATTTTCTTCTGAGAACATTATGATCTATACAGCAATAAATTTAAAATATATTAAAGAGAGAGAGGAAGTGAGAGGGAAAGGGAGAAAGACTCAGAGTGAGAAGGGGCAAGTTTGAGACGGAGTAATATTTAGCAGCTGTTTGGCCTTGGTCATGGTCACTTATGCTTTCTAAGCTAGTTTCCTTATCTGCAAAATATAGATGTCAGTTATGCTTTTTTCATGGAGTTGTTTTATCAAAGGAAGGTTCCATAAGGCAGAGGAGATGTCCTACAATCAAAGCTCAAAGGCCTGGCTCAGAGTCTTTACTCAATGATTTTGAATGAATGTCTAAAAGAGTAGTTATCAGATTTCTGTGCATCAAAATCATCTGGGAGGTTTATTTAAAATAATAGTGTCTGGCTGTATTGGATGTCTACCAATTCAGAGTGAAACCTGGGCCTCTCACGGCCCCTGAGTGCTTCTAAAGCACAAATTTGATGTGGCAGATGCCCTGGCATACCACCTAGATACCCCTTCAAGGAAGGATTTGTTTTCTTGCCCCTGGGAATGTGGCTGGCAGGCAGCCTTTAGCTCTCAAGTCTGCTTCCTCTTCTTCCATCCTTAGGGGTTGTGTCCCAAGGGCACTTCCTAATACACATCTCAAACACTAAACTCTGTCTCTAAGTCTGCTTTCTGCACAACCCATCCTGCTACATTTGGGAAATATGAACCTGAAAACCAGATTTAATTATGTTCTTCATCATCCTAAAAAACCTTCTTAGGTCTTCATTGACTGCAGAATCCTTTGCATGAACGTTAAGGCTCTTCATGATTTGATACCAATCTTTCTTTCCTTCCTCATTTCCTTGTTAAGTGTTTCTAAATCCCCAAGCCAGAAAAAAATGGACTATTTTCTACTTAACCAAGCATCTTCACGATGGAAGCTTTTGCTTAAGCGTTCCCCTGACATGAACTTACTCTTCTTTTCCCTGTTAAAATCCTATTGGTTCACGAAGGTTCCTTTCAGGTGCTACCTGAACGATGAGATCTTTCTTAATTCTCCAGTTTCACGCTAGCCTCATTCCCTTGCTATAAGTTGTGGTGTTTTGGTGCCCTGCTCACCAAACTTAGCTTCTCAAAACCAGAAATCCTGTTTTCCAGCATTCTTTTCCCCATATCACTCAGCCTAACACCTTAGTTATAGTGGATACACAGACTTTTGTTGGATTAGTCAGTGGTACTGAGGCAGTAATTTATTAAAACACAAACTTGTACTGCTAGAAAAAACCCATAGACTATATCATTGACACTATTGCCTGCATTTAGTGCACAGATAAGAAAGCAGAAGGTTAAAAAACTTGTTTAAGGCTGTATAATCAATAAGTAGTAAAATGGTGGCATAACTTAGATCTGACTTTTTATTGCATATATATTTTAATGTTCAATTTTAAAATTATAAACATAACACATAAACATTTAAAACCACTCTGCCATGATACTGTAGTGATGGATGCAAATCATGATAAATTTGTCCAAATCCATAGAATGTACAATACCAAGAGTGAACCCTAATGTAAACTATGAATTTGGGGTGATAATAATGTGTCAGGGTAGGTTCATTGATTTTAACAAATGTACCACTCTGGTGAGGGATGTTGATAATGGGAGGACTGTGCATATGTTGGGGAAGTGGGTATATGAGAAATCTCTGCATGTTCTGCTCAGTATTGCTGTGAACCTAAAACTTCTCTAAAAATAAAGTCTATTAAAAATCATTGTTGGTAATTTTTAATGCAGAATATGCAATCAATTAAATTCCTATAAAGGTTTACATCTGAATCATAAATTTGTTTCTAATTTGGTTATTTGGTCACTTCAAACATATTAAAGAATAGCCAAAACATCCGAACACAATCTTTTGTTTTAACAAAATTACTACCACATGCCTACTTAAACATATTCTGAAACTCAACATCACAAATTTAATTGACTTTCTCTTTGTCTTCACATCACTTTAATAATTATTAGATTTAGAGTAACCTCTGTTTTTTGATATTACCCAAAGGCTTCCCAAAATTATTTTGATAACTTCCCAGGGTTTCAATAATCTCACAGGAACCTGGGAAAAAAGCATTTATCTTCCCGAACAAGCTCTAAGTGATGGTTCTGAATTACTAGTATATGAATAATTTTTTAAAATAGTGTTTTCAGTATTATCTGCATTCATAACCACAAACTAAACACACCCATACAATCAGTCCCAGAGCAAAGAAGATAGCCTTACAAGTGAACAGAAGGAGTTTATGCAGTGGATGTGTTTCACTCAATTTTTGTTTATCTCTGTAGCCATGGCAATGACTCTTGGTCAACTCTGAGAATTAAGCTACTGGAATGTTTACATACTGACTGTCTAATGACACTAATCTATATGCTCAAAGTAGTGGGTCAAGATGAACCAAGTTATCAGCATGTTTACAGTAAACATGAAGGTCTGTGATGTGCACCCAGGACCTGGTGTAGGATTTGCACCATGGCTGATTACATGAAAGGAATGTGACCAACTCCATTTAAGAACTTTGGATCACAAGATTCAAGCAAGCACTCTTGGGCATGGTCATCTCACACAGATCCCTGCAGTTTACAGCTGGAGATGTATCCAGAGTTCCTCAGAGAAGGAGGACAAGAAACCTTGCTGTTAACCTTCTAGCCTGTGCCTGTATAGTATCTTTTTTCTGTTATTCCTGCATGCATCCTTTGCTATAATAAATCTTAACCATGCCTATAACATTATGTTGAATTTTATTAGTCCTTCCAGCAAATTCCCAAACTAGTGAATGGTCGAAGAATTACTGAAATAACTAACACTTCAGAAGCACCCCCTCTTGTTCCCTTGAAATCATTACCTTCTTCCAAGAATAACTACCATCCTGACTTCTGGCAGCATAGAGTAGTTTTGCCGTTTTTGAACGGATGTATTTAGAATCATACAGTCTGTATTTTAGTATCTGACTTCTTTCACTCAAATACTATGTTTATGAGAGTCATACATGTTGCGGTGTGCAACTGTAGTTCATTCATTTTCATTATGGTAGAACAGTCCATTGACTATAGCACAATTTATGCGAAACATTCCTCTGTGGATGGATGTTTCGGTTGTCCCCAGTTTGGGATTATTATTGATATTGTTGCTACATTATGTTCTAGTTCATGTCTTTTGATAAACCCATGAATGCACTTCTGTCTGCTATATACCCAGAAGTTCTTTGAAACCAACGAGAACAAAGACACAACATACCAGAATCTCTGGGACGCATTCAAAGCAGTGTGTAGAGGGAAATTTATACCACTAAATGCCCACAAGAGAAAGCAGGAAAGATCCAAAATTGACACCCTAACATCACAATTAAAAGAACTAGAAAAGCAAGAGCAAACACATTCAAAAGCTAGCAGAAGGCAAGAAATAACTAAAATCAGAGCAGAACTGAAGGAAATAGAGACACAAAAAACCCTTCAAAAAATCAATGAATCCAGGAGCTGGTTTTTTGAAAGGATCAACAAAATTGATAGACCGCTAGCAAGACTAATAAAGAAAAAAAGAGAGAAGAATCAAATAGACACAATAAAAAATGATAAAGGGGATATCACCACCAATCCCACAGAAATACAAACTACCATCAGAGAATACTACAAACACCTCTACGCAAAAAAACTAGAAAATCTAGAAGAAATGGATACATTCCTCGACACATACACTCTCCCAAGACTAAACCAGGAAGAAGTTGAATCTCTGAATAGACCAATAACAGGAGCTGAAATTGTGGCAATATTCAATAGTTTACCAACCAAAAAGAGTCCAGGACCAGATGGATTCACAGCCGAATTCTACCAGAGGTACAAGGAGGAACTGGTACCATTCCTTCTGAAAATATTCCAATCAATAGAAAAAGAGGGAATCCTCCCTAACTCATTTTATGAGGCCAGCATCATTCTGATACCAAAGCCAGGCAGAGACACAACCAAAAAAGAGAATTTTAGACCAATATCCTTGATGAACATTGATGCAAAAATCCTCAATAAAATACTGGCAAACCGAATCCAGCAGCACATCAAAAAGCTTATCCACCATGATCAGGTGGGCTTCATCCCTGGAATGCAAGGCTGGTTCAATATACGCAAATCAATAAATGTAATCCAGCATATAAACAGAGCCAAAGACAAAAACCACATGATTATCTCAATAGATGCAGAAAAAGCCTTTGACAAAATTCAACAACCCTTCATGCTAAAAACTCTCAATAAATTAGGTATTGATGGGACGTATTTCAAAATAATAAGAGCTATCTATGACAAACCCACAGCCAATATCATACTGAATGGGCAAAAACTGGAAGCATTCCCTTTGAAAACTGGCACAAGACAGGGATGCCCTCTCTCACCGCTCCTATTCAACATAGTGTTGGAAGTTCTGGCCAGGGCAATCAGGCAGGAGAAGGAAATAAAGGGTATTCAATTAGGAAAAGAGGAAGTCAAATTGTCCCTGTTTGCAGACGACATGATTGTTTATCTAGAAAACCCCATCATCTCAGCCCAAAATCTCCTTAAGCTGATAAGCAACTTCAGCAAAGTCTCAGGATACAAAATCAATGTACAAAAATCACAAGCATTCCTATACACCAACAACAGACAAACAGAGAGCCAAATCATGAGTGAACTCCCATTCACAATTGCTTCAAAGAGAATAAAATACCTAGGAATCCAACTTACAAGGGATGTGAAGGACCTCTTCAAGGAGAACTACAAACCACTGCTCAAGGAAATAAAAGAGGATACAAACAAATGGAAGAACATTCCATGCTCATGGGTAGGAAGAATCAATATCGTGAAAATGGCCATACTGCCCAAGGTAATTTACAGATTCAATGCCATCCCCATCAAGCTACCAATGACTTTCTTCACAGAATTGGAAAAAACTACTTTAAAGTTCATATGGAACCAAAAAAGAGCCCGCATCGCCAAGTCAATCCTAAGCCAAAAGAACAAAGCTGGAGGCATCACACTACCTGACTTCAAACTATACTACAAGGCTACAGTAACCAAAACAGCATGGTACTGGTACCAAAACAGAGATATAGATCAATGGAACAGAACAGAGCCCTCAGAAATAACGCCACATACCTACAACTATCTGATCTTTGACAAACCTGAGAAAAACAAGCAATGGGGAAAGGATTCCCTATTTAATAAATGGTGCTGGGAAAACTGGCTAGCCATATGTAGAAAGCTGAAACTGGATCCCTTCCTTACACCTTATACAAAAATCAATTCAAGATGGATTAAAGATTTAAACGTTAGACCTAAAACCATAAAAACCCTAGAAGAAAACCTAGGCAGTACCATTCAGGACATAGGCGTGGGCAAGGACTTCATGTCCAAAACACCAAAAGCAATGGCAACAAAAGCCAAAATTGACAAATGGGATCTAATTAAACTAAAGAGCTTCTGCACAGCAAAAGAAACTACCATCAGAGTGAACAGGCAACCTACAACATGGGAGAAAATTTTCGCAACCTACTCATCTGACAAAAGGCTAATATCCAGAATCTACAATGAACTCAAACAAATTTACAAGAAAAAAACAAACAACCCCATCAAAAAGTGGGCGAAGGACATGAACAGACACTTCTCAAAAGAAGACATTTATGCAGCCAAAAAACACATGAAAAAATGCTCATCATCACTGGCCATCAGAGAAATGCAAATCAAAACCACTATGAGATATCATCTCACACCAGTTAGAATGGCAATCATTAAAAAGTCAGGAAACAACAGGTGCTGGAGAGGATGTGGAGAAATAGGAACACTTTTACACTGTTGGTGGGACTGTAAACTAGTTCAACCATTGTGGAAGTCAGTGTGGCGATTCCTCAGGGATCTAGAACTAGAAATACCATTTGACCCAGCCATCCCATTACTGGGTATATACCCAAAGGACTATAAATCATGCTGCTATAAAGACACATGCACACATATGTTTATTGCGGCATTATTCACAATAGCAAAGACTTGGAACCAACCCAAATGTCCAACAATGATAGACTGGATCAAGAAAATGTGGCACATATACACCATGGAATACTATGCAGCCATAAAAAATAATGAGTTCATGTCCTTTGTAGGGACATGGATGAAATTGGAAACCATCATTCTCAGTAAACTATCGCAAGAACAAAAAACCAAACACCGCATATTCTCACTCATAGGTGGGAATTGAACAATGAGATCACATGGACACAGGAAGGGGAATATCACACTCTGGGGACTGTGGTGGGGAGGGGGGAGGGGGGAGGGATAGTATTGGGAGATATATCTAATGCTAGATGATGAGTTAGTGGGTGCAGCGCACCAGCATGGCACATGTATACATATGTAACTAACCTGCACAATGTGCACATGTACCCTAAAACTTAAAGTATAATTAAAAAAAATAAAAATAAAAAAATAAAAAAATTTAAAAAAAAAAATAACAAAGAGCATGCTAGCAAGTCAGTCACCACTCTTATCTCAATCCCAGTGGAGAACTCTGCGAGCAAGTGTAGAACAAATGCCTCTGAGTTAATTCACTCAAAGAACAAAGGAGCTGGGGTGTTTATACATGGTCTCCTGTCAGTCATTGTTTCAGGGCTTCTCCTGAGTTGGGAGGTGTGTGTTAATTTTCCAGCACATCTCTCCTGCCCCTCTCTTAAGAAGAGCATTTTCTGCTTCCAAATCAAGCAAACATTAACAGGTGCTGGCAGGTGAAGTCAGATTTTTTGGTGCTGAATTACATAAGTTCAGGTTAGTAGATAGAATGTGGAAGGGGAACTTGAAAAAGAAAAGTATCTTTAAGGTTAAAATAACGTGCATACAACTTCATTTTCTTTTAAATTTTTCTTTATGTTAAAAGTTCTTGACTACCTAATGATAGTACTAAAAGAGTTAATGCTCTTGAACATTTCCATTGCACTTATATATATCACTATTTGGGCCTTAGTTGGAAATGACATCTGCTAGAATCATCTTTTATTAGTAGGACACTATCCAATTTTTTAAAAACATACATAATAGGCCCTGGGTAATAGAGAATCCCAAAATAATAAGGCTATTATTTCTAAAAATAGAAATTATTGAATAGGTCTTCTGGGTGTCAATCCAGAGTTAAGATGGTGCTCCATGGTGTAAAAGACCCAAGGACTGTTATCTTGCTCCGTCAGGCATGGCTTTTATTCTCAGACTTACACTCTAGGATGGCTGCTGGAGCTCCAACCAATCCAGTCTCTCATGACGGCCTAAAGGAAGGTGGGAGGATTGAAGCAGAGATGCAATGCACTTCTCAGAAACTGCACACCCTACCTCTGCTTGTATCCCATTGCCAAACACTTGGTCACATGACCAGACCCAGTTGCAAGGGAGGCTGGAAAAAATCTTTATTCCAATTGGCCACATGCCCAACTGAAAAGGAAGCTTTACTACTGAATAAGAAGGGGGAAAGATATTTGGGGCAACAGTCACTCTCCTTTCTCACAAGTCAAAAAAAAAATGGGAATTTTTTTAAAAAAATCTAAAATGTAAGTAACCTCTAACAAAGTTTTAGCTTAAAGCAGTCATTACCGGGACATAAAAGAAAATAAGTGTTTTCCTTGGACTCTTCCTGAACTTAGGTTAGAATGTTATCAACTTAAAAAACAAATATGTTAAATTTACAAACAGTATGGACCTATTCCAGAGAAGTGGAGGGGGTGCTGTATGTATGTCTGTGAATATGTGTAAGTTAGAAACCTAGAGAGTTCTTTCTTTTTGATCCCAGCCATGTTATAGAGATGGTGATACAATTTTAACCTATGTGAAAAAGCAATAATATAAATATGTACTTTGAGTGCATAAATAAAAATTCTCAAACATGAATTTGTTTTTATAGGTCTTATTTCTCATCAGCATGGTATTCCAATTCAAGCCATTTGTTTGGTTCCTCAATCTGCAATGTTCAAGTCATAATAATATCATAAGCATATTTAAGTCTTATAATTACCAGAAACATAAATAGTCCCTCAGGAAACTGAATTAAAGATTTTTGAAAGAGAATAGGAGAGACATTTTCAAGGTAGGCTTTCCTAACCACCATAAGAAACACACCCAAGGAAAAAACCGACCATTGGCATTGGCATTGCTCATCAATGCACAGATGTATTTCGCGGTTAAAAATAAAACCACAGGTCTCTTCACAAGAAAGATGGGTAGAAAACAAAAAAATTGTGATTCTCCTTGGATGATTGTGATGGATAATCAGAGACACAGCTTTTCATGTTGATTGGTCTCGTCTTTCTGGAGACCAGAAATGGAATCCATCTGGACGCTTGCTAAAAGACAGCAGACGGAGTTATACCACATGACACAGAGCAGTTTTCTCTATCGTAATCCACCAATGGTGTTCTTTGCAAGTATAATATTACTGGAGACCTGAAAGATAATTTTCCACTCATGATTTAGCTCCAGATTTCTTATGGCTGTGGATCCTCCATGTTAGGAGAGAAAGTTTCTTAAATATCCGCAGTACTTTCCTTTTTTAAATTTGGAAAACAAAGAGAGACACACTAGCATGACTCTGTACCTGGAAAGGTTTCAGAACAATTCATGAAAGCCTCATTTGTAGCCATCTTGAAAATAAGTGTATGTTAATGAGCAATAACAATAAGTTTTAAAAAGTTAATTATTATGCCACAAAAGCAAATAAACTGTCTCAATCATAAAATATGTCAGTTATTACATATAAAATGTAAAAATACTTGACTTCATGTATTTGCAACTATCTTCTAGCTCAAATCTTTATCCTTTTAGACCCGAAATCTATATTTACTTCAGTCTTGAGGACCTAGTTTGTATTTTTTCCTTCATTATATCCCTTTTCATCTACTTCTGTCCTTATCATTTTTAATACTGGTTTGCCACTCCTCTGTTTCCTCGACTTCCATCCCACCCTATATTACATACTTACCTAATAAGTCTTCCTACTATCATTTTTCTAGGTCTCCAAATTAGTTTCCTCTAACTCTTACAAAAGAACATTTTTATCCACCATATTTCCCATTCTCCCAAGGAGGATATTTCAAGTTAAGATTTCCATTTACTTCACCAAATCCCTTAATCTTTCTTTTGAAACATCCTTTCTGTGCTGATTGAAAGGGCCACGTGATGTTTTATTCACGCATTCAACAAGATTTTTTAAATGCATGCAATTATTTAGTTATATCCTTAAATGAGAGGCTGAGGCAGAAGGACCGCTTAAGTCCAGGAGTTCAAGGCTGCAGTGAGCTATGATCACATCATTGCACCCCAGTTTGGTAACAGAGTCTCAAAAAAGGGCATGGAATAAATCCATGACAGCAAAGTCACTATTAGATGCACACAAATAAACACAGAGCCCGGATCTCTGTGAAAAACAGAGCTTTACTTTTTTTTTAATCAAGTTTCTCATTGGTCTCTCCAGGGTTCATGTTAGGTGCATGTTAGGTGGTCTCCCTCATTCATACTTTGTTTCCTGGACCCCTCCATGGGTTTTTCCCTCTGGACCACCTACCACCAGGATCTCACTTCTCCGTCACTAGGTTCTTTCTGGTCCTGCATCCATCCCATAGAGATGAATCTTTATTAGGTCATTTATATACTGCAGAACTTCTGGGCAGCTTTCAGGTCCTCCAGTTCTCTCCCAGAAAAATGCCTCCAAGATCAAGAAAATGATCTCTTGTTAATATATATCAACTCTTAAAGCATAGCTTATGGACAATTTTATGCTAAAGAAAGATCTCTTCCCAGAAAGGGTGAAAGAGAAAACAAAACACCTTCAGAATGCATTAGCAACATATATGAGAATGACCATATGGGCTGGGTATGGTGGCTCATGCCTGTGATGCCAGCACTTTGAGAGGCTGAGGCAGGAGGATTGCTTGAGCTCAGGAGTTTGAGACCAGCCTGGGCAACATAGCGAGACCTTGTCTCTACATCTTTTTAGAAAAAAGAGACAATGACCACATCCTACACACCCACAGCCTTCTAATTTGCTATATTTACTCTCCCTAGAATTAGATAATCTGCTTTATTTTTATCCTGTTACCACATTGTTGGAGAATGTTAAAGAGGCAAGTATATTAGACTCATTGCAAGTTTCTGTTCTGTAATCTCACCAATGTTAGGGCAGAACAGCAAAGCTATCCTATACGAGAGCTCGTGCATGATTCCCCTTCATGTGTCCTTTTTGTTTCCCCAGAAGCTATGTTCCTTTCCCCCACAGACTATTCCTGTTTCTCACAGTGATAAATATAAAATTCACAGGCTTGCGTTCATTGGCTTATCTTCCTTGGCATCAAGGAGGCTAAAGTGTAGACAAGGAGACTAACTTTAATAATCAGTAATTTAAATGTAAAAATTACAATGGTGGAAAAAAATAGAGTTATATAATTCTATAAGGGCCAGTAGAAGAGAGATTTAACCTAATGAAGGATGTTTGGAAAATTTTTAGAGAATGTAACTCTGAACCGGAGAACTGAAGACAGGGTAGGCATTAACTAGACAAGGGGTCATGGGAGGGGAAGATTGCAGGGAAAGACTTTTCTAAGAAAGTCCACATCCCTTGGTGTAAGGGAGCAGAAAACCTACAGGAATTGAATGTAAGAAGGAGTAGAGAGCTGGCAAGTTTAAAGCAAAAGAGAGTGTGGTTTAAGGGGAAGCTGGAAATGTGGAGAGTGGGGGTAGTCCAGACCATGTAAAATCTTGCAGGCTGTGTTAAGGAGTGTTGGCTGTAATGTAAGACAGATGGAAAGCCATTGAAGGGTTTTAAGCAGGGTGTGGGATGTAAAAAATTAGACTTAGCTTTGAGAAGTTTGCTTTGGGGATGCTAAGTGGAGAAAGAATTGGAAGAAAATAAAAATGAATAGAGAAGCCAGTTAGGAGGTCTAGGTGGGAGATGAGGTAGCTTGACCTATGCTGTGCAAACAGAGATGGAAATAAGTAGATTTGAGAGACATTTAGAGGATAGATCTGTAGAACTTGTCAATGATTTGAATATAAGATAGAAGGAAGAGATAATTCTCAGAGATAATTTTAGAGTTTCTATCTTGGGGAACTGGGTAGATGGTGGTTCAACAGGACGTGGTTTACCAGGGAAGAAATTGCACATGTTGGAGGATTCTATTTTTTTTTTCTTCTGCAGAGGAATTTGGTCTCCCTCTCTGATTTAGGCTCAATTCCACTGGAAAAAACCTTGAGACAAAGATTTAAATGCAAGTCATCAGTCTGGGGAAGCCAATGTGGAAAATGAGTAGAGAAGAGGGCAGTAAGAAAGGGAGTGAAAGAAATCTAATGTGTGTTGATGAATAGGTTGCCACTGTGGGCAACTGGGGATCAACCTACTGGGAACCTCCAGGAGATGAGATACAATGTGCTTTTGAGTTATTTCACCTTGGGGATGATAAATATGGAATATTTACATGCTAAGTCATATCCATTATTTGTTTAAGGACTCTCCCATGGGCATTAATTCATAGCACTTCTGGCCTTGCCTGTGTTCTAGCCAGTGATGCCCCAGAAACCAGAGAAAGCCTCAGAGTGCAATGGGAAGGTGAATGCTGAAGGGATATTGGCAAAAAATAGACAGTGTCTGTTGCTGTCTAGTGCCCTCCAATATTTTCAATTTCACCATTTCTATAAGTTTATTCACTCTATCTTGATAATTTTGTCCTTTTCAACTCCTGCCTCATATCTCAAATTTTCTTTTATTGCTACATTTTAACTAAACCATTGATCCACAAATTCTTTGATCTTCAAGTCAAAATGGTAATTTCTATACCACTGCACACTCATAACTTTATATCTTTATTATAATGAGAGAGTAATATATTGTGAAACCATGCATGATTTTATGCCCAGTTGTGATGAAAAGCTAAGAAGATGAACTCATAGCCAAGCATGCAAAATGTTGGTCACAACGAAATAACACTATAAATAATATTGACTTAAAAATGGAGCCTTCAGTGCATTAGTCTTAAACTGGAAAGAAAGAGTAAGTTGAGTGCTTTAGGGGCCTGATCCTAAGTTACTCCTTATTTTTATTAGTGACTTCTATGATGGAGCAGAGAACACATTTTTCAACATTTGCTGATATTGCCAAGTTGGCAGCAACTGCCAGCGCTTTGGAAAGCTGCAATGTACAATCCAGGGCACCACTGGGCACAGACTAGATGCTTCATAAATACGTGGTGACTGATGGACTAAACTTGAGTACAATCTTTGCAGATATTCTTCCAAATCCTATGCCAAACTTCTCCATTCTCCTGGGCTCCAATCTTCATCCCCTTCTTCTCTGAGGACACCTGATGTCCTATCAAAGACGTGATTTTGGATTCCTCCATTGCACTTTCTCCACCAACGAGATTTCTATATTAACTCATGATTCCTTCTTGCTAAGTTGCACTTTCTCTTTTCCTCCATCAACTATCTTCTTCGATCCTTCTCCTCCATGCCAAACTCTCTTCATTCTCCTGGCTGGAAACCTGTTCAAGTGTTCCCTAAATTAAAAACCCATCTGCTCTCCCTTATGCAATTCCTCTGAGCCTCTAAGTGCTTCTCTGGAGAAAAATAGCCTCGACCCACACCTCCACTTCATCATTGCCATTTATTTCTTAATCCCTCTGGCCTTAGAAGGAGCCTTATGGAAGAACTCTGGTGCAAAGCCTTTTATATCCAGTTCATGGTACAGCTCCAATCACTTGCAGCTGAGAGCTGAATGCTCAATGAAAAAGTACTAGTCAGCACCTTGCAGCTTCTCCTCTCCCCACCCCAATGTCTTAAAAATCTCCATTGCCTCCTTTCCACTGGTTGAGAGTCCTTCATCTTTAGCTCTTTTTCAAATACATTTAAAGTTTCTTCCAAAGTTTTCTTCTAGCCTTGGCCCCATTCCTTCCTTCCCTAAATTCTTTTACTTGAGGAACTCTTCTTCTCTGATAGGCTCCACTATGACTGCAGACAACTTGTGAGCTCTCCTTTTTCCTTGTTTATCTCTCACCTTTGTCCCTTAATGTTACCCCTTGTGTAATTTACACTTGAAAATTTGACAGTGTGTTATTTCTGTTGCACAGCTTGAACATTCCTATCTCTATACCTTTGCTTATGCAGGTTCCACTACCCACCATGGTGCCTTTTTTGCCCTTTCTCCGATATCCACTTTCCCAATTCTGTGCATCCAGGAAAACCCAACACCATAGTTACCTCTTTCAAAAAATCTGTGTGGATATCCTTCAGACAAAAGACATTTACCCTCATACTACATTATCTGAACTTCCATCAACATATTCATTTCTTTTCCCCTATGTACCAGTTATGCAATTATATGACGTTTTCCCATACCTGTTCCAGTCCCTTCAAGTGATCCCAGATTCATCATACAGATATACTCCAGGAGACGGTGAAAAATGTATAGGGCACTGTGGAACTCATTTCTGGAATTATGCCAGACCACCTACCTCTTCTCCCATGTTTTTATTCTCCCACCTGCAGCTTTCTAACTCCTGTTTATTTCGTTGTGGATTCCCAACACCACTCACTGCTGACCCTCCCATTTTGCTCTTCAGTTGGACCTGCTTCTCTGATACCTTTGGATATAATTTATATTACTCATAAGAATAATGGGCCAAAGATTATCCAAACCCCACCCCAGGACTCTTTAACTTTCTTGGTTTTAAATCAACATAGGGTGGCCAGATGATAAAGAGGCTGAAATTCTCTGGAATTCAGGTATTGGAATCATGCTATTGCCAAGTTTATCAAGCCCATTACAGTTAACACTAATCCTTTTAATATAGTGAGTGCTCAAAATAGAATTTTAATTAATCCATTAGTTTCTTTGCATAATAAATGTTTGAAGAATGAGATTCAGGGTAGGGTGTTTTGAAGGACATAATGGGAGGAAATGTATGTGCTTTGGGAAGCCATCTGAGACAGCAAGTTCTGTAGACCGTCTGCACAACTAGAGAAACTGGACTCTTAGAGCATATTGGCAAGCCATTTGGTTTGGTGATTAGATGTGAATTTTCTGAGTTCGAATCCTGATTCCATTGTCCACTAGTGATCCATAACTTAACCTCTCTGTGCTTCATTCCTTCAGTTGCATGTATAATACTGTACGTGATTGATATGGAGGGTAAATGACATAGTATCTAGGATTAACAAAGAAATTAACAATGTCTGATATGTACTCAATAAGTGTTAATTATTATCATTAAAGGGAGAAGGGTATAGAGAATCTGAGAAAAAAAGGTTGTCTTCTCTTATAAAAAGTTGTTTTCTTCATAATTTTACCTAGCAAGGGACTTGAATAGGGTCTTCCTAATAGTTGCAACAAAGTGGTGAGCATTATTTAAAACAGATCAGATACTTAATCTGTTACTTAAGGAACCCAGACTTTTTCCACATGTGTTCCCTGTCTAGGTCCTTGAAATCCACTCATTCAGTCAGTGGATGGCAAAAATAGGATGAGTATCAGGAATGCCATATTTTTTATGAGTGAGGCATCCGTAGCCTCTACTCACATCTCATTGATCAGAACTCATCACATGAGTGCAGCTAGCTGAAAGGGAGGCTGGAAGATATAACGTGGCTATGAGTCAAAAAAAAAAAAATGAAGAAATGGACATAGGTGAGTACTTGCTGTTTTGGCCACTAGTACCATTTGATAAGCATTTACCCTCCCGAATGAAGGGACCATTTCCAGAGCAGGATCATCACAGGAAGTAGCAAGTAGCAAGCTCATGCACATGTTTATGAGCATTGCCACATTCTCCATAATGGACCCTCCTCCTCTCACTACTCGTACAGGGCCACATGGGGTTCAGGGGTACAAAGGATCAAGGAGCATAGGAACATGCCACTTTTATTAGTCAACAGATGATCACAAAAGGCCCTTTATATGTATGCACTAGGCTAAGAAATACTAGGAAAAATAGCCAGGTCTACGTAAAACAAAGGTTTCTGAGAGTTTACCTGAGTAACAAGTATTCAGTAGAACAACATGAAATAATTAATATCTGCTTTCTTTTTCTCACTCAACATTCTTGGACAGAGCTCCCTCAAAATAGTCAACTATTTTTAACTTTCACTGCCTAACATATTTAGAGCTGTCTTTGTGTCCCAAACTGATGAAAAAACATTCAACAATAATGTAAACCACATAATAATATTTTAATATTAGTATATTTAAAGCTAAATTCCAAATACAAATGTATAACTGACTTGGCTTGCTTTTTGAATCATGACATAAAAGAAAAATATTTCAAATAGCATTATTTTTATACACAGAATAATAATTAACACAAATAACACTTAATATGATCCAGACACTGTTACAAGTACTGTACATGTATCATCACACTTCGTTTTCTTAATTACTCTGTGATTTCATCTAGCTCTGGTTTCCTACTCAAATCTCATCTCAAATTGTAATCCCCACATGTTGAGGGAGGGACCTGGTGGGAGGTGATTGGATCATGGGGGGGTGGTTTCCCCCACGTTTTTCTCATGATAGTGAATGAGTTCTCCTGCGTTCTGGTTGTTTGATAAGTACCTGGCATTTCCCCTGCATCCTCTCTCTCTTCTGTTACCTTGTAAGACATGCCTTGCTTCCCTTTCACCTTCCTCCATGATTGTAAGTTTCCAGAGGCCTCTCCAGCCGTGAGGAACTGAATCAATTAAACCTCTTTTATTTATAAATTACCCAGCCTCAAGTAGTATCTTTATAGCAGTGTGAAAAATAGACTCTGTGAGGTAGGTGTTATCTCCATTTTAAAGATGTGGAATCATCTCTCAGAGATGCTGGGCAATTTGCCCAAGGTCACACAGGCAGTAACTGGCAGGATAGTTATTATATCTCAGATGATCTTGTTCCAGAGTCTGTGCACTTGACCAATTCAAATATTAGCTCTCTCCTCGACCCCCACCAAGATTTGAAATTAATTACACATAACAGAGAACTCTAGGTTCAATGGAATCACTTTACATATTCCTTTTAGTTTTTTTGAAATATCCCATAAACTCATAATATTTGAGCATAAAATGTATTAGGCAAAATATTCTGATAAAAATAAAATACAAACTCTGTTTGGACTAATAAAAATGCTTGTATCATCCACATGGGACATTCTATGAAAAAATATACTTAGATTTTTCCTTTATTCTGGGTAAACAAATTAACATCTGTTATACTAAATAGGCAAGCTTAACCAGCCATGACGCTTCTCAACAAATATGTTCTGGAAGGTTTTAAAAATATATTTATTCTGGAGGCTTCAGAGAACTAGATTGAGCAGCTGGCAATGCCTAACAAGGCTCCTATTTCCCCTATTCATTCTCATGAAAACATTCTCTTTCAAAGAATCATTCAGACGAGTATAAAAGGAAAATATTAAAATATGGAAAAGTCAGGAGAAACAGAGGGTTGTAGTTCTGCAAATAGTAAGATCAAATACATAAGATTTTATTTTCCTAGAAAAATGGATGATTTGAACAATTTCATTAATTATTTTACCCAGTACCAGGGAAGGTCATTGGAAATAGATCTTGAGTCCTTAAGCAAGCTCAGTCCTTCTCTCAGCCCACTGGGCTAAGACATTAAAATAATTATATCATAAGACACCAAAGGACCTGATTGAGCTATTCTGTATTTGGACCTGGTTAGATATATACAGCACCATGGTAAATAAACACTAGTACATATGCTATATGAGGGCAGTGGTTATGATTCATCTGGGAAGAAACACAAGGGAACATGAAGGCACAAGGAAACTTTTGGGGGCAATAGACATGTTAACCGTCTTGATTGTGGTGATTGTTTCCTGGTGTGTGTGTGTGTGTGTGTGTGTGTGTGTGTGTGTGTGTGTGTGAGACATATAGATGTATGTCAAAACTTACCAAATTATATATTTTAAATAGGGACATTTCTTGTATGACAATTATACTTCAATAAGGGGACTGTTAATTTTTTTTTCAGAGACGTCGATCTTAGTGATCGCTAAGCAGCATCCAGCAGGAATAATACGTGACTTTAGCAACTCCTGGGGCTTTCCAAAAAGGCCTAGAGGGATCCCACCCTGCCCAGGATTCAGGAGAGAAAACAACCTTCCTTCCTCATACAGTTAATAAATGTTAAGTATGGTGGTAAGCATTGAAGATAAAAGGAAAATTTCAAAATAAAAGATTATATGTTAAGACCAAGAAACAAAATCCAGCTATCTGTAGCATACATAAGACAGATCTGAAACATAATAATAAAAAAGAGTCAAAAGAACAAGAAATTGCTAATCCAAATTGAAAAACAGAAATCACAGTCTTAATGCTGGGGAAATTTGAATTTACAGATGAAAGCATCGTTTGATAAGAGAAAGATTGAAACTGCCTTTGCAAAATTATGAAAGTAAGGGAAATCTGACATAGTTGACTCTATTTTGCTTCTAACTTTCAAGCTATCATGGGTCACTCTTGGGTGTAGACTGAGTTGGCTTTGGGAGAATTTAATTTATAGTTTAACCTTAAAGCAAAGATGATAATAGCACTTTCCAAAACTATTAATAAACCACCTTTGCAAGTAAAACGAATGAAAGGCCACATGGTTAGGATTATGAGAGGGGCCCGAATTCTGCTAAGATGTGGGTATAGTTTCTATAATCCCTTACTGCTCAGGAATCATGTGGCCAGAGGTCACAAGATCTGTGACTTCCCCAATTACTCCTATAGATAGCATCACTATTATAAAACATAAGATTTTTTTTTTTTTTTTTAGATGGAATCTCACTGTGTCGCCCAGGCTGGAGTGCAGTGGCGTGATCTCTGCTCGCTGCAAGCTCCGCCTCCCGGGTTCATGCCATTCTCCCACCTCGGTCTCCCGAGTACCTGGGACTACAGGTGCCTGCCACCACACCCAGCTAATTTTGTTTTTGTATTTTTAGTAGAGACAGGGTTTTACCTTGTTAGCCAGGATGGTCTCAATCTCCTGACCTCGTGATGCACCCACCTTGGCCTCCCAAAGTGCTGGGATTACAGGTGTGAGACACCACGCCTGGCGGATTGGTTGTTTGAGATATCTTTCAGACTGACTCCACCTGGACTCTGGACTCATGACTCAACTACTCCTGTGGCCCCACCCAGAGGCTGACTCAGCACACAAGGACTGTATCCCATATCCCTATGATTTGATTTCCAACCAATCAACATTCACCATTCCCTAGTCCCCTGCCGACCAAACTATCCTTGAAAACCCCTAACCTCTGTTAGATATGAGTTCTAAATTTCTTTTCAAAGAGACAGTATGTCAATATGTTCAATTCTTTGCCTTCTACTTTTAAACTTAACTTCCTCGTAAAGCAACCTTTTTTGATTACCTGCTCCACCCCAACTCTTTCCGATTACCTGCTGTATCATAACCATTTTTCCCACTCACCCCATCTCTCTCTTTAAACCACTCACCCCATCTCTCTCTTTAAATTAGCCAGTCAGAATTAGTGTAGCCTGTGCAGTCTAACCCTAGCCAATAGGGGAACGACACAGCAGTAGGGGCCACATGCGTCAGGGATAAGTACCCCTTCCCCTCCCTTGTCCAAGTGTGCACTCACTGTGGCTCGGTCTGTAAGGGTGCACCCTTCTATAGAAGTCACTTGCCTTGCTGAGAATTAAAAAGAAAATTTTATGTTCGAGTGCAATTTCTTTTGCAGCACTGAAACTTTATTTATAACACCTCTGAGTCTTCGGAGAGATTGATTTGAGTAATAATGACACCTCCTAAGTGGCATGGCTGGCCTCCCTCAATTAAACTCTTTCTGTATGGCAATGCCATGGTCTCCATGAATTAATTTTTTCTGTGCAGCAGGCAGGAAGAACCTGTCGAATGATTACAAGATCATCTTTTAGCATGACATGAGAAACTTAGTGGGACTACTCCCCAGTGACGCTGGTGAAAATTATACATATATATGTGTATATATATATACTATTTACAGTCTCTGGAAATTGTTCTAAGAGTATACAGCAAATGACACAACTATTCAAGACAATCTGCCAAAATTCACTAAAAACAGTGAGAATCTGTGGTATTTGAACTAAGACTACTCTCTCCTTCCCCTCTCCCAGCTCAGCAAGACAAAAACTTCACTCCAGTGTAGTGTAGCCAAGAACCCAAGGCTCCTCCTACACCCACTTCCTAGCTTGGAGGACTAGCTTACTGGGAGGGGAAGGATTTCAGCATTCCTCACCCTGCCCTCAGCTACCTGTAGATGAGCCTAAGTTCTCTGAAAGTTTAGCCAACAGGGAGGTTTCCCTCCTCCTGCTAGCTTCCACTGATAAGACGGAGGCTCTTGTTGGGGCAAAGCACCTTTGAAACTACTGGGGTCTCTTGTCTCCATTTATAAGGCCATGGTTTCATGCTAGGAGAAGCAAGCAGAGGTCAGCTGAGACTACTGTCTCCTCTTCTGCTTAAAGTTCAGCTTCTAAAGCAGGGATGTCACTCAGAGAATAGCTCATCACTGTCCCATACTGCCTGCTATCTGCTACCTTTTGCCAGTTCAAGAGCCTTGGCTCAGTGATTCTGCCTGAAGGTCAAAGTAGGCCTTAAAACAGATAACTCCTAATTTCTTCACAAAGGAAGTGGCTTCGTTTGCAACAGAGTATGAAGATGTTTAATCCTGAGGGCATTCTCAAGAAGGATAAAGTTTGTGGTGAAAGGTAATTGGGAAAATACTAGCTACTCACTGGAGATATAGATTAAACTGTGGATGAGGGGATTTTCCAGAGAAAATGGGGAAAGAGACATCTAAGGAAATCTTTCCTGAGGTCAGAACAAATCTAAAATGCTGACTTTAGTTTGACAGTGTTAGTATGCAGAGCAGTTTATGCCCTAGAATACTATTGAAAACAACAGAGCAATCAGACAGCAATTAAAGGCTCTTAACAGCTGGGCATGATTAGAGAAGTGATAGTCAAAGAGCTCTGTCGGAGCCAGTTAACCCAAGGTGACCATAGGCCCATCCAAGGCTGCAGCCCCTGAAGGTTATCATCATAAGTTTAATCATACGTGAGGAAAATAGATACCAATAAAATAGCTGATCTAGTTACTAAATAAAAAGACAATAAAATAACAATAATAAGCCCTAGAAAAGCAGAGGTGATACTCAGAGTGGCTACTATATATTATCTAAAATGTCCAGTTTCCAACAGATATTACAACACATGCAAAACAAAAACAAAACAGCAAAGCATGATCAATACGCTGAAAATATAGCAGGTAATTGAAAATACCTGTAAGATAAGCCAGATGTTGGATTTAACAAACAAAACTTCAAAGAAGCCATTATAAATATGGTAAAAAAAAAAAAGAAATCATGATTTAAAGAGTAAAAGAAGGTACAATGACAATGTTGTATCAAATAAAAAACAACAATAAAGAGAAATTATTTTTCAAAGTAGGAATTTTAGAAGGGAAAAATAAAATGAAAATGAAAAATTCTCTTGAGGGGCTCGACAGTATATTTGAACTGGCAGAAGAAAGAATGTGTAAACTTGAAGATAGATCAAAATTGATTACACAAGTTGAAGAACAGAGGGGAGAAAAGAAATAAGCTATCAAGCCATGAAAAGACATGAGGGAGACTTAACTCATATTGCTGAGTGAAAGAAGACAATCTGAAAAAGGCTACATATTATGATTTCAACTATATGACATTTTGGGAAAGGCAAAACTATAGAAGCAGTAAAACGACCAGTAGTTGTCAGGAGTTTGGTGGAAGGTGGGGGAGAGATGAACAGATTAAGCCCAAGGGATTTTTAGGGTGGTAAAAACATTCTGTATGAAAATACAGTAATAGATATGTTTCATAATTAGTCAAATCCCATAGAACTGTATAACAAGAAGTGTAAACAGTTTAAACTTAGAGTTCATAGAACCTTAAGGTAAACTACTGATTACAGTTAATAATATTGCATGAATATTAGTTCATCAACAGTAACACACGTGCCACACCAGTGCAAAATGTTAATAATAGGGGAAATTGTGTGCTGGGGTGGAGGAATTGGGTGGAGTGGGTATATGGAAATCTTTGTACTATATCCTTAAATATTCTGTAAACCTAAAATTGTACTAAAAATAAAGTCTATTAATTATTCTTTTAAAAAGTGAACAGATCCTCAGGGAAATGTGTTACACTATTAAGGAAACCAACATATGTATAATGAGAGAACCAGAAGGAGAGAATAGATAGAAAGAAGGATAAAAATAATTGAAGAAATGACTAAAAACTTCCAATATTTGTTGAAAAAGATTGATCTATACAGCCAGGAATCTCAAGCAGGATAGAAAGAGATCCACAAACAAGCATCTCATAGTAAAAATGCTAACCAAAGACAAGAAGATGGCTGAAAAAAGAAAATCTTGGAAACAGCAAGAGAAAAATAACTTGTCATTTAAACAGACTCCCGATACAATTAACTGCTGAATTTTCATCAGAAACAATGGAGGTCGGATGGCAATGGGAAAACATTCAAAGTGCTCAAAATGAAAACCACACTTCATCAAGAATTCTATAATCAGCAGGGCTATCTTTCAAAACCTGGAAGTTAACTGAAGAATTTTCATTAAAAAAAAGTAAGTAAAAATGTTGCTGGGAGGACTGCCTTATAAGAAATATGAAAGGAAGTTCTTTAGGCTGAAAGCAAGTGACACCATATGGTAATTCAAATTCACATGAAGAAATAAAGAGCAAAGGTGATGATAATTTTGTAATTATAAATACTATAAATGTGTATTTCTGTCCCTTATTCTATTAATTATTTTTAAATTAATTGTATAAAAATATGTATATAATGAATTGTTTGACCTATGACATAAAAAAATAATGTTTTTGCCAAACACAGCACAAAGGAGGTGGGTGAAAGAAGTTACTGGTGGTAACTTGAATCCAGAGGAAGAAATAGAGGTTTGGAAATGATAAATGAGGAGATTAATATAGCAATATCTATAAATATATACTTGCTCTCTTTTCTTCTTTTAGATTATTTAAAAAGCATAAAATCATAAAGTTCTGTTTATAACAATTTATTGGGGGGTTGTAACATTTGTAGATGTTATAATAGCACAAAAACTGTCTCACTGGAATTTAGTATAAATCTGAAGCTGGTTTTGTTAAGTTTGGTGTTTATAATTAAAGTCCTGGAACAACCACAAAAGGAATAACCCAAGAAATAAAGTAAAAAAAAAAATCACTAAAGAAATTAAAATGCTACACAAGAAAATATTCACTCCATACAAAAGAAAGCAATAAAGGGAAAATAGAGGAACAAAAAGAATGAGACATTTAGAAAACAAAAAGTAAAATGACAGATGTAAATTCATCTACATCAATAATCACATTACATGTAAATGGATTGAACAACCCCATAAAAAGACAGAAATAGACTGGATTTTTAAAAAGATTCAATTATATGCTATTTACAGGAGCCACGTTCTAGACTCAAAAATACTACACTGAAAATCAAAGTTGGAAAAAGATGGATCATACACACAGCAACCATAAGAAAGCTGGAGTCACTGTGTTACTATCAAACAAATTTGGCTCTGAAACAAAAATAAATGTTACTGGAGATAAAAAGGAAAATTTAATAATGATAAAAAGGTCAATCCATCAGGAAGATATAACAATTATAAGCTTGTATACAATAAAAGACTACCAAAATACTAGAGGCAAGAACTGACAGAAATGAAAGGAGAAATAGGGAGTTTGTTATCATCATCAACAACAACAAAACACTTGGAAACTTGAATATTCTGCTGTATTCCGATGAATACAGCTAGTTCAAAGATCAACAAGGAAGCAGAGACCTGAACAACACTACAGAGCAACCACACTTAACAAACATTTATTGACCACACCTAACAACAGTAGACTATACATTTGTCTTGATTCTTCTGCATTCTCCAAAATAGACTTTATGCTGGGCCAAAAATAAACCTTGCTAAATTTAACAACGTTCAAATAGTACAAAGTATCCTCTCTGACCACAATGGAATGATACATGTTACAACATGGGTGATGAATCTTGAAAACATGCTAAGCAAAAATGCTAGTTGCAAAAGACTATACAAAACGTCCAGAAAGAGTATATCTACAGAGACAGAAAGTAAATTAGTAGTAGCTTAGGGCTCAGATGGGAGTGAGGCAGGGGAGAATAGGAGAGTGATACCTAAAGATTTCAGGCTTTCTTTTTGAGATCATAAAAATGTTCTAAACTTGATTGTGAGTATAATTGCACATATCTGTAAATACACTGAAATCATTGGATTATACACTTTAAATGGTTGAATTGTATTATATGTGAATTATATCCCAATAAAACTGTTTAAAACATGTTAGATAATTCCCAAATAGAACATTATAATAATAAAATGTGCAATCCACAATGAAGAACTAAGACCTATGAATATGAATGCATCAAATAATATAGCACTTATATTTTAGAAGCTGAAACTATAAGAAATACAGAGAAATTCACATAAAAATTTTATGGCCTAATATTTTTATTTATTTATCTCATTCCATGACAGATTAAGTAGACAAAAATAAAAATTTACAAAACTTAAATGATATAATTTATTGCAGGGGTTCATATGCATATTTATATATACACACACATTGATTCTTGCCTAAAAACCAAGTATTAATTCTTCTAGACAAGCACCCCAGGAATACTCACAGAAGTTATCGAATATTAGACCTTAGAGGAAAATATAAGTAATATTTGAAATGTAAAAATAACGAAAATATGCTCTGATCACACTGCAAAAATCCAGAAATAAATAAATCCAGAGAGAGAGAGACTTTTAGCTGACTTTCAAGGAAAAGAGTAAAAAGCAAACATAGATAAACTTTGGAAATGACAAAGAAGAAATAATCACAGGTACAGAAGAAACTTTAAATAATTATCTTAAGGTTGTACATCAAGGCCAGTTAAAGAAGTGAGGGGTATAACAGCTATGTGTGTTTTTAAAAAAATCCTAGCACTTTGGGAGGATGAGGCAGGTGGATTGCCTGAGCTCAGGAGTTCAAGACCAGCCTGGGCAACATGGTGAAACCCTTCTCTGCTAAAATACAAAACATTAGCCAGACATAGCGGGGTGCGCCTGTAGTACCAGCTACTGGGGAGGTTGAGGCAGGAGAATTGCTAGAACCCAGGAGGTGGAGGTTGCAGTGAGCCAAGATCGCGCCATTGCACTCCAGCCTGGGCAACAGAGTGAGACTCCGTCTCTTAAAAAAAAAAAAAAAAAGAAAGAAAGAAAGAAAAAAGAAAAAAAAAACTCTATATATTAATCAGACGGTTTTTTCTTTCCCCTTCTATATTCCCTACTATTTTGTAAGAGTGTCAAATTCACAAAATCATAAAGAGTCACATTTGAATGTATCCACGAAGATTGCTTATGTCTGGCAATCCTGAACACGAGGAGAATACCATGTCTGATGGAACTTTGTGTTTCCTTGGCTGGATTGATGAGCAGAAATGTCTACATGTTCACTGGAGTGAACATGCATTGGGAACTAAAAAATAGAAAGGTTGACTGTACCAGACCTGGGCTTAACTGTCTACAGATATATTTCTTATCTCTCCCGTCACCCTTTTTTTGTTGTTCTGCCTGGAATTAGAGGTGAGGTGAGGCTGATTCCTGCAGATTCTATACCTCAGGGTGGGTCAGCCAGCCTCTGATAGGGTTTCACCTATGGTGGCACTGGTGGTGGTTAGAAAGGTGCAGGAAGGGTCCTTCTGTCATCCTTCTTCCTCTTGAGCAGATGATATCTTAGTAGCCCTGTCTCCCTGTGTGGTTCCAGCTCTTCTATGCCATGATGGTTCCAACCTGCACTGGAACCCCTGTCTCTTGGGTTTCACTAACATTGCTTCTTCCCTCTCTCACATCAGCCTAGGATGGTAGCACCTTCCTGCTGCAGCTAATCTCAGATTGTTTCATATTCCCATGTGTCTTCCCAGTACTTCCATCACCTCTGTAATCAGCACACTCTGCCTCACCCCCAAGCACCATTACTAAAACCCTCAAGTGGGTTTTACCAACCCTTTTGATTATCAGTACATCAAGAAATATATTCTGCAGTTACACGTGTGCATGTGTGAAGTGACATATTTCTAAGTTTATTATTTGCTTTAATGTTTACAGTAGTTGAAAAATTAGAATAAGGCACTGTTAATAATGGTATACCCATAAAATGGAATGTTGTATAGGCATTAAAAAGAATAAGGCAAAATTTTATGCTTTAAAATAATTTTAGTTAACAGGTAATAATGGTACATATTTATGGGATACAAAGTGATATCTCAATAACTGTATACGATGTGTAATGATCAAATCAGGGTAATTGGCATATCCATCACCTCAAACACTTATCATTTCTTTGTGCTTTGAACATTCAAAATCCTGTCTTCTAGCTTTTGAAAATATACAACAAATTATAGTTAACCATATTCACCTTACAGTGCTGCAGAACAGCAGAACTCATTCCTCCTATCTAGCTGTAATTTTGTACCCATTAACTAATCTCTCCACATTCTTCCCTACCCCCTACCCTTCCAAGCCTCTGTTACTCACATTCAATGAGCTCAATTTTTTTCAGCTCTCACATATGAATGAGAACATGTGGTATTTATCTTTCTGTGTCTGACTTACTTTGCTTAATGTAATATCTTTCAGTCTTATTCACATTACCACGAGTGACAGGATTTCATTCTGTTTTTATGACTGAATCGTATTCCATTGTGTATATATATCACATTGTTTTTATCCATTCATCTATTGATGGACATGTAGGTTAATTACATATCTAAGCTACTGTGAATAGTGCTGCAGTAAACATGGGAGTGCAGGAATCCCTTTGACATACTGATTTCCTTTCCTTTGGATAAATACCCAGTAGTGGGATTGCTGGATCATATAGCAGTACTATTTTGAGTTTTTTGAAATACCTTCACAGTGTTTTCCATAATGGCTGTACCAATTTACAGTCCCATCAATAGTGTATAAGAGTTCTTTTTTTCTGCATCCATGTCAGCAAATGCTATTGTTTGTCTTTTTGAAAATAGCCATTCTAATTGGGGTGAGATCATATATTTTTGTGGTTGTGATTTGCATCATTTCCCTGTTGATTAGTGATGTTCAACACTTTTTTTTTTTTTTTTTTTTTTTTTTTGAGACAGAATCTTGCTGTCACCCAGGCTGGAGTGCAGTGGTGCGATCACGGCTCACGGCAGCCTTGACCTCCCAGGCTCAAGCAATCCTCCCACTTTAGCCTTCTGAGTAGCTGGAACTGCAGCTGTACACCACCACACCTGGCTAATTTTTGTAATTTTTGTAGAGATGAGGTTTTGCCATGTTGCCCAGGCAGACTCCTGGGCTGAAACAATTCACCTGCCTTGGCCTCCCATGGTATTGGGATTGCAAGCATGAGCCACCTGTTGTATTGAGTTCCTTTTATGCTCTGGATATTAGTCCTTTGTTGAATGGATAGCTTGCTAATATTTTCTCCTGTTAAATAGATTGTTTCTTGTCTCTTCACTCCGTTGTTGCTTTTGCTATACTGAAGTTTTTTAATTTGATATAGTCTAATTTAGCTATTTTTGTTATGTTGCCTGTGTTTTTGAAATCTTAGCAATAAAATCTTCACCAAGACCTAAGACATTTCTCCTGTTTTCTTCTAGTCTAGTAGTTTTATCGTTTCAGATCTTATGCTTAAGTCTTTAACGTATTTTGAGTGAATTTTTGTGTATGGTGAGAGATGGGGATGTAGTTTCATTTTTCTGCACATGGATATCCATTTTCCCAGCACCATTTATTTAAGAGGATATCCTTTCCCCAGTGTAGGTTCATGGCACCTTTGTAAAACATTAGTTGGCTGTAAATATATGGATTTGTTTCTGGTTTCTCTATATTGTTCCATTGGTCTATGTGTCTCTTTTTATACTAATACTATGCTGTTTTGGTTACTACAGCTTTTTCTATTTTTTTGAAGAATGTCATTGGTATTTTTACTGGGATTGCATTGATTCTGTAGATTGCTTTGGGTAGTATTGTCATTTTAACAATATTAATTCCTCAAATCCATGAACATGGGTGTCTTTCCATTTGTCTGTGTCCTCTTCAGTTTATTTCATCAATGTTTTGTAGTTTTAATTATTGAGGCCTTTCACTTCTTTGGTTAAATTTATTCCTAGGCATTGGTATTTTATTTTTTGTAGCTACTGTAAATGGGATTGCTTTCACTGGATTGCCAATGGAAAGGAAATCATTGCCTGTAGCTGAATAATAAAGTAACTGAAAAAGAAATAAAGACAATGATTTCCTTTTCAGCTACTTTATGATTGATGTATAGAAATGCTACTGATTTTTGTATGTTGATTTTGTGTACTGCAACTTTACTTCATTCATTGCTCCTTTTTCAGAGAATTTTGGTTTTTAGGTTTTTCTAGGTAGAAGATCATATCATCTGCAAAGGAACAATCTGACTTTCTGTTTTCCAATTTGGATGCCCTTTATTTTTTTCTCTTGCCTGATTGCTCTGGCTAGGACTCCCAGTCCTACATTAAATAAGAGTGGTAAAAATGGGCATCCTTTTCTTGTTCCAGTTCTTAGAGGAAAGGCTTTCAGCTTTTCCCCATTCAGTAAGATGTTAGCTGTGGGTTTGTTGAATATAGCCTTTATTGTGTTGAAGTGTATTCCTTCTAAATTTTTTAGCGTTCTTATCATAAGGAGGTATTCAATTTTATTAGATGCTTTTTCTGTGTCTGTTGAAGTGATTGTATGGTTTTGTCCTTCATTCTGTTGATGTGATGTATCCTATTGATCAATTTGCATATGTAGAACCATTCTTTCACCCCTAGAATGAATCCCATTTGAATATGGTGTATCATCTTTATGACGTGTTGTTGAATTTGGCTTGCTAGTATTTTCTCAAGGATTTTTGCATGTATTTTCATCTGCGTTATTGGCCTATAGTTTTGTTGCTGTTTGTGGTGTGTCCTTGTCTGGTTTTGGTATCAGGGTAAAGAATTTTATGATTTGGAGTGAAAAGAATCTCCAAGATATATTGTTAAAGGACAAAAATGAGGTGTAGACCATGTATATATATCTCAAAATTATACATTTGAAATGGAAGAATAATGGAGTGACATAATTTTTAAATTTTTTTAAATTAAAAAATTATTTTATTTTTGAGACAGGGTTTTGCTCTGTCACCCAGGCTGGAGTGCAGTGCTGCGACCGTGGCTCACCGCAGCTTAATCTCCTAGGCTCACTCAAGTGATCCTCCTGCCTCAGCCTCTCAAGTAGCTGGGACCACCGGTGCGCAGCACCATGCCTGGCTATTATTCTTATTTTTTGTAGAGATGAGGGTCTCACTATGTTGCCCAGGCTAGTGTCAAATACCTGAGCTCAAGTGATCCTCCCACCTCAGCTTCCCAAGGTGCTAGGATTACAAGAATGAGCCACCATGCTCAGCCCATGTAGTCAATAAGGATGATAAGGAGACTTTTTGATATTGCCTACTTTTTCTACCTTCTATGCATTTGTTAACATTCCAAAATTTTGTAATCTTTAAATAAAAATGATTATTATTAAACACGAAAATGTATATAAGGTGCCTAGCATAGTTAAAACAACAACAACAACAAGAGCCTGAGCTGCCAAAGTGGGCTCACTGGATTTGAAAGTTTCCTCTACTCTTTATTAGCTACATGACCCTGATTAATATCCTTAACCTTTCTAAGAGACAGCTTACTCACTTATAAAATGGGGATAATAATAGTACCTGCCTCATAGCGTGGGGGTATAGTGAGATGACCCATGAATAATACTTAACATAGAGCACAGCCTATAATGAGTCTTTTTAATCACCTTGGACTATCTTGTTTTCACTCTAATCTTAAAATTAAAGGAGATTTCTTTATCCAAACCTAGGATGAGTGTGTGAGGCAGCATGGTGGAGCCATCTAGGGGAAAAGCAAAGAAAAAGATTTCTCCCTGTCTATCCCTACTCTGTACCTAACTCATAGATCAAGGAATTTGGTCCCTAAAGGGAAGGAGCCCCCACCCCCACCCATGTAGCTATTACTTGGGAGCTGTTTTCTAGCAGAGCCCTTTCATGTCACCACCACCCTCATGAAGGTGTTAAGATGTTTATAACAGTGATCTGTGGCACTAAATCAAAGTGCACCAAAGTAATAAACATGAGGATGAAAGCAGGTGGGGCTTGAGGGATGGAAGATGGTGATTATATTTGAATTCTGAATTGAGCAGTTAGAAAAAAATAGACTCTAGCAGCACCTTTTAACACACATATTTACAGTGGCCAGACATGCATGTCTTCCAGCAAGGAAGAGGAAGAAGAAGGAGAAGGAGAGACAAATTAAGATTTTTTATCAAAGAAACTCCATATTTTTTATTGTAGTGGGAACAACAGATTGCTCCCCAGGTGAAAGATCTGCATTGATAAGCATTAAAAAGCACCAGAATGTTATTTCTTCAGCCTCTGTAGGAATCTTTCCCACCACGCTGATGGGAACTAAGGAAGTGTGCGCCCTCTTTCTGGACAGTAGAAGAACTTCATGGACAACTCCAAATTCAAGGATGACTAGTCAGGATAAAAAGAGGCTATAAAAAAGATGGAGTAAATAAAAGATTAGATGTATCATCCCTAAGATATGGAGCAAGCCCATGTACTTAAAAAATACTCTAAAGTCTAGAAAATAAACATAAAGATGAAAAGCATAATCTTCACACCTTTAATGACATTCAGGAAATCATACATTCTAAAAAATAAAACTCAAATATAAAGTAAGACAAGTTCAAGTAAAAAGGAAATGGATTAAAGGAAGACAGGAAATGTAAAAGACCAGAATATGGTAAGAGCTTAGAGAAATCTATAAAGGATAATTAAAATCAGTCTTAGTCAATAAATGGAGATAAGAGATAATAAAAGGTGTTAATGGATAGATGGATGGATGGGTGTTAAGGATGGATGAAATACATGGGGGTTCATTATGCAATTATATCCACTTTTAAAATATTCAAAATACTCCATGCGTAAAATAATCCTTCTTAGAAATAATAAGACATTGCAGAAAAGCAAGTCTCTAATTTGGAAAACTCCAAGAATGCAGAGGTAAAGTTCTAGGACTTAAAAAGATGAGTAGAGAAATGAAAGATATAGAGAAGAAAAAGAAAGCAAATAACCCAATAATTTATTTATCTATAATGTAAAAAATCAGATTAAATAATGAAAAAAACACTCCTGTAATCCCAGCAGTTTGGGAGGCCAAGGCAGGCGGATCACCTGAGGTCAGGAGTTCGAGACCACCCTGACTGACATGGTGAAATCCCATCTCTACTAAAAATACGAAAATTAGCCGGGTGTGATGGTGGGCGCCTGTAATCCCAGCTGCTGGGGAGGCTGAGGCAGGAGAATCTCTTGAACCTGGGAGACAGATGTTGCAGTGAGCCGACATCATGCCATTGCACTCCAGGCTGGGTGACAAGAGGGAAACTCCATCTCAAAAAAATAAAATAATAACAATAATAATGAAAAAATAATAAAGTTATTTTGCTTTTTAAAGCCAGAGGAGAAATTAAATCTAAGAGGAGAAATTATTTCTAAGGAGCTTATAATAAATGGGATCAAATTAAAGAAAAATATGTAAGAAATATATATTTTTGGTGGCATTTTTATTTCAAGGAGAGAGAAACAAATTTTTACAAGAATCAAAGAGGGAAAAAAATAGCAAGTAAAAAAGAAAATTCCTCACATGAGTTCTCTACAGCTTTTAAAAATTGGAAACCAATGGTGCATTATCTACAGTGGCTTATGGAGAAAAGACTGTAATGGAAGACTCAGGTAGCCAGTTGTATCAATCAGGTTTCCTAGTGGCAGACAAGAGAATCTTCTCTAGGTAGTTTTAGCAGACAAGTCTTTGTTAAAAGATCCTTGGTCATCTACAGAATTTTTGGGAGGACCATTATACACTCAAGAACCAAGCAGTCTGAGAAAACAACTAACCACACCCACCCACTCTTTGGCAGCTATACAGTAGCAAGAGAAACCCAGTGTCTCTGATCCATCTGTTCCAGATCTGAGTGCTCCTGTGACACACATACATAGTTCAGCGGTATTGTGGGTTCAGTCCTAGGTCACTGCAATAAAGTGTATATCCCAGCAAAATGAGTCATACAGATTTTTTTAGTTTTACATTTATCACTGTAAAACCAATAACAATTTTACAACTAGTTTTGTACATAGCTGTTATATGTAGGGCCATCTGTCTTTAAGTAGGGATACATTACTGTAAAAAAGAAAAAGAATCCTAGATAGTTTTTCCTTCAAGTCAAGTATTTGTAGTTTGAATACATCTCCTGTTTTTTTTCTTAAAAAAAAAAAAAAGTTGGAGTCAATCCTCTGAAATCCTGCCATGGCTTTAACAACTAAATTATGTAATATTCTTAATTTTTTATTGTCATTTAATAATGTTCACTGCATCTTCTGCAGTAGATTCCATCTCAAGAAACCAGTTTCTTTGGTTATTCATAAGAAGCAACTCCTCAACCATTAAAGTTTTATCAAGAGATTGCAGCAATTCAGTCACACCTTCAGGCTTCACTTTTAATTCTAGTTCTCTTGCTATTTCCACTGTATCTGCAGTGGCTTCTTCCAATAAAGTCTTAAACCCCCCAAAGTCATCCATGAGGGTTGGAATCAACTTCTTCCAATCTCCTGATCATGTTGATATTTTTGCCTCCTCCTATGAATTATGAATGTTTTTAATGGCATCTAGCATTGTGAATCTTTTCCAGAAGGTTTTCAATTTACTTTACCTAGATCCATTAGAGGAATCACTATCTATAGCAGATAAAGCCTTACAAAACATATTTCTTAACAAGACTGGAAGATCAAAATTACTCTTTGAATCATGAGCTTCCAAATAGATATTGTGTTAGCAGCTATGAAAACAAGATTAATCTCCTTGTACATCTCCATCAGAGGTCTTGGGTGACCAGTTGTATTGTCAATGAGCAGTAATGCTTTAAAAAGGATCTTTTTTTCTGAGCAGGAGGTCTCAATAGTTGGCTTAGAAGATTCAGTAAACCATGGTAAACAGATGTGTCATTATCCAGGCTTTGTGATCCATTTCTAGAGCACAGGCAGAGTAGATTTAGCATAATTCTTAAGAGTCCTAGGATTTTTGGAATGATAAATGAGCATTGGCTTCAACTTAAACTCACGAGCTGCATTAGTCCCTAACAAGAGCCTCAGCCTGTTCTTTGAATCTTTGAAGCCAGGAATTGACTTCTCCTTATGAAAGTCCTAGATGGCATTGTTTTCCAATAGACAGCTGCTTTGTCTACAATGAAAATCTTTTGTTTAGTGAGCCACCTTCATCAATCAGCTTACCTAGATCTGGATAACTTGCTGCAACTTCTCTGTCAGCACTTGCTGCTTTACATTGCATTTTTATGTTATGGAGATAGCTCCTTTCCTCAAACCTCATGAAACAACCTCTGCTAGCTTCAATCTTTCTTCTGCAGCTTCCTTATCTTTTTCAGCCTTAATGGAATTGAAGAGAGTTAGGACTTTGCTCTGGATTAGGCTTTGGCTTAAGGAAACATTGAGGCTGGTTTCATTTTCCATCCAGACCACTCAAACTTTCTCCATACCAGCAAGAAGATTGTTTTATTTTCTTATCATTTGTTCACTGGAATAGCATTTTTAATTTCCTTCAAAAACTTTTTCTTTGCATTCACAACTTCACTGTTTGGCACAAGGAGAATAACTTTTGGCCCGTCTCAGCTTTTAACGTGCCTTCCTTAGTAAGCTTAATAATTTTTAGCTTTTGATTTAAAGTAAGAGATGTGTGACTCTTCCTTTAACTTGAAGACTTAAAGGCCATTTTAGGGTTATTAATCTACCTAATTTCCATATTGTTGTGTCTCAAGGATTAGAGAGGCCTGAGGAGAGGGAGAGAGATGGGGGAACCGTTGGTTGGTAGAGCAGTCAGAACACACACAACGTTTATTGATTAATTTCCCCATCTTATATGGGCACAGTTTGTGTCACACCCCAAAAAATTACAATAGCAACATCACAGATCACCATAACAGATATAATAATAATGAAAAAGTATGAAACAGTGAGAATTACCAAAATGTGATACAGAAACACAAAGCGAGCACATGGCATTGAAAACACTGGCATGGACAGAGATGGCTGGGAGCAGTGGCTCACGCCTATAATCCCAGCACTTTGGGAGGCCGAGGTGGGTGGATCACTTGAGGTCAGGAGTTTGATACCAGCCTGGCCAACATGGTGAAATGTCTCTACTAAAAATACAAAAATTAGCCAGGCCTGGTGGCACATGCCTATAATCCTAGCTACTGGGGTGGCTGAGGCAGGAGAATTGCTTGAACCTGGGAGGCGGAAGTTGCAGTGAGCCAAGATTGCACCACTGCACTCCAGCCTGGTCAGAGAAGCAAGACTCCATCTCAAAAACATAACAAAAAAAAAAGAAAACTCTGGCGTGGACAGACTTGCTCAATACAGGGTTGCCACAAACTTTCAATTTGTAAAAAACACAGTATTTGTGGAGTGCAATAAAGTGAACCGTAATAACACAGGACATGCCCATGCTTTGCCCCTCCCTGCTTTATTGAGGTACAGTTGACAAATAAAAAATTACATGTATTTAAGGTATGCGACATGGTGTTTTGATAGAAGTACATATTACCTCTTGTAATGATTCCACAATCAAACTAATGTATGTATCCATCATTTTATGTAGTTACCAAGTATGTGTGTGTGGTGAGAATACTTGTAAGTTACTCTCTTAGCAAATTATGTTTATCATACATTATTATTAACTATAATTACCATTTGCCATACATTACTGCTAACTGTATTTACCATGCTGTACTCACCACATTTAACATGTTTAGATTCCACATATAGATGATTATATTAGTCCGTTCTCATGCTGCTAATAAAGTCATACCACAGACTGGGTAATTTATAAAGGAAAGAGGTTTAATAGACTCACAGTTCCACATGACTGTAGAGGCCTCGCAATCATGGCAGAAGGTGAAGGAGGAGCAAAGGCATGTCTTACATGGAGGCAAGCAAGAGAGCATGTGCAGGGGAACTGCCCTTTATAAAACCATCAGATTTCTTGAGACTTATTCACTATCACAAGAACAGCACAGGAAAAACCCGCCCCATGATTCAATTACCTTCCAACCAGGTCCCTCCCATGACATGTGAGGATTAGGGGAGCTACAATTCAAGAAGAGATTTGTATGGGGACATAGCCAAACCATATCAGTGATATTATCTAATATTTGTCTGCTGTATTTGGGATATACTTGCCAGAAATTCGTCTGTCTCCCATGTGTCCATGGACTTATGGTTTCATTTTCACTTCTTCATATTGAAGGGTATTTCTGATTGACAGGAAGATCACATGCAAAACCCTGGCTGCAAGGAAGTCTGGGAAATGTAGTATTCAGCTTTCTAGCCACATAGCAGTGCTATTTAAAGTGTGTTTCATGGACCAGCGGCAGGTCTCATTTTGCTAGTTGTCAAAGAAATGGTACGTACAGAAATTAAGAGTAGTTCTTTAGAAATCCTTTATCTATTTAACAGAGTAGTAGAGTCTGTTGAATATGATAATTTTTAAGTGAGGTTTATTTTTTGTGTTTTAAATTTTGTTGTTTTTTTTCTTGTTGTATATTACAAAAGTATTGATCTGTGGCAGATTGAAAAGAAACTGGTATGTACCACGGATAATTTGAGAAAAATTGTTATATAAAATACCTGTCAGTTAGCTAGAAGGAGGTTGAAATGAATGCCAAAAGAGCCAATGTATATTAGATAAGAGAAAGACATTCTCTTCTATGCAAAGATGTAGAGCCTATATATCATGATACCCTTTCTGGAAAAATGAAAACACTAGAGAATAGAATAAAAATAAAAACATCTCCAGACTGGGAAAGTAATGGCGTAAGAGATCTAATGATGAATATTTAAACCAGTTAAACATAGAATTGTAAGTATTGTTGAAAAAATATAATACACATTTAAAAATCTCCTTTCCTTTGTAAATGGGTATAGTGGCTGACCTCCAAGATGGCTCCCCAAAAACCCCACCTCTTAGTCTTTATGGCCTCCTGTGGTTTCCTTCCATATCAAACAAGGCTGATTTCTATAACCAAAAGGATGTCGAGAAAATCATCGCATGTGAATTCCAAAGCTAGGTTATAAAGCTCATTGCAGCTTCCATCTGGCTCCCTTGGAATCCGTGGCTCTGAGGGGAGCCAGCTACCATGTTGTGAGGATGCTCATGCAGCACCACGAAGAGGACCAGGTGGTGAGGAACAAAGACTTCTGGCCAACAGCTAGCACCATGTTGCCAGTCAAGTGAGTGCACATCGTGGAAGCAGGTCCTCTAGCCTCGTCCAGCCCTCAGATGACGGTAGCCCTGATGGCACCTGGACTGCAACCTCATGAATGACCCCACACCAGAACTGACCAGCTAAGCCTCCCAAATATCTGGCTCACAGAAACTATGAAATAGTGAATGTTTTTTGTTTTAAGTTTTGAGGGTTATTTTTTGAACAGCAATGTATTAGTCCGTTCTCACATTGCTATAAAGAACTACCTGAGACTGGGTAGTTTATACAGAAAAGAAGTTCAATTGATTCACAGTTCTACAGGCTATACAAGAGCCATTGCTGGGGAGGTCTCAGAAACTTACAATCATGGTGGAAGGTGAAGGGGAAGCAATTGCCTTCTTCATAAGGCAGCGGGAGAGAGAGTTAAGAGGGATGTGCTACACCCTTTAAACAACCAGACCTCATGAGAACCCATTCACTATCATGAGAACAGCAAGCCGGGGGAGGTCTGCCCCCATAGTTCAATCACCTCCCACCAGGCCCCTCCTCTAACATGTGGGGATTACAGTTTGACATGAGATTTGAAGGGGAAAACAAAGCCAAACCATATCAAGCAATATATTAATATATTTTCTGAGGTAATTTGTTACACAGTAATTGATAACTAATACAATGAGAATAGTTTTATTATAAAATAATATTATTATTATAAATAATTAATAAAAATATATTTTGTTGGATAATATAGTTAATTGAATATACCCCCAACATCATGGTAATTTTGAATTTTAGCTGTATGTGTTTTAATTTAATAAAACTATGCTGATAACTCTCAGTCTCCTTGGTTCCTCCATTGCGAAAAAGGATATAGTTCTAATAAAGACAGCAGGTAAAGGAGATTTTCCTTTAATAAACATTTTCAATAGGAAAATTCTCTATCACAGGATATTAAAAGAATTGTCCTGTTCTGATTTTCTCTTTTATCCTAAATATTTGAACACGCCTAGAAGGTGCAAATTTTTTTTTTTTTTTTTTTTTTTTTTACTTTTAACTGTCAGTTTTGAAAGGCATACAAGATAGAGGATCGTTTATTGTCACTAGAGGGTTAAAATGACCATTTTATATCCAAGAGACAAAAGAATTTATCCCACGTTATGCTGCCCTATGTAGAAGACTGTGAGAGTAAGAATTATCCAGTAACTGCAGCCAATGAGAGACTTCTGTCTTGACTGGCTCTGGAGGATATGCCTTTGTGCTTTGCATAGCAGAGTTGGAGAAAATGGGCTTACCCCTTGTAATGCCACACAGCCAAGGTGCTGGAACATTCATAAATGACTTAGGGGAAACGGAGCTAAGGAGATGCCGGACTTACCATGGTTAAGACTTGTGTGAATTAAGTGGTTTTCATCTAAACGTACTTAGACTTTTTGAGGTTTTATTGACTTCACCCCACATAGTACTGCTTCCACTACCCTTAATCTTATTTCCTACCATATAAAAGCTGATGTTAATACTTCAGCAAGGAGTGCCAGAGAGTAAAATCTCACATGCCCTTGCATTATGCCAAATACTTTTCCATTTAGAAAATACCTCTTATGTGTAAGAATAAAATCAGAAGGCATATGGAGATTAGACACTGCTAGTAAATTAATTTTCCTGTTGTTGTTAAAAGAAGCATATCATTTTCCATTTCTACTTTTAAAAGTTTTGTATATTTTAATATTCAATTTATTTGCTTTCATTAATTTTAAGCTTTTGCTGGTTATAAACACTACTATAAAGAAGAGAGTAGCATAGAAACCACAGATAGTATGTAAAGGGTTGTAAACAAAAGACAGAGACCAATAGCAGCCTAATGTTTAAGTGACAGGGACTAAAGTTAATGTTAATGTTAATGTTAAGTGACAGGGATTAAAACAGTTTCATTTTAATCATTTGGAAAGTATATGAGCATTATTATTATGAAATAACATGTCAGGAAAACAATTTTAAGCCAAATGCTATTTTCCTCCTACATTAAAGAAAAACAACATTTCCAGAATTTCATGTTTAAAAAAAATCCTACACTGTCATACCTGCTCTGTGGTCACTTTTCTAGAATCCATTCAGCTTTTAATTTGAAATAAGAAATGATTTGGGGTTGGTGGGTGTATTAGGCCATTCTTGGATTGCTATAAATACCTAAAACTGGGTAATTTTTAAAGAAAGAGGTTTAATTGGCTCATGGTTCTGTAGGTCTTACAGGAAGCATGGTACTGGGATCTGCTCAGCTTGTAGGAGGGCCTCAGGAAGCTTACAATCATGGCAGAAGGGGAAGAGGGAGCAGGCATGTCACATGGCAAAAACAGGAGCAAGTGAGAGAGACAGAGTTAGGGAAAGGTGCCACAGGTTTGTTTTCTTTGTTTTTTGTTGTTGCTGTTATTGTTTTGAGACTGTGTCTTGCTCTGTCACCCAGGCTGGAGTGCGCTGGCGCAATCTCGGCTTACTGCAAACTCCGCCTGCTGGGTTCAAGCGATTCTCCTGCCTCAGCCTCTCGAGTAGCTGGGACTACAGGCATGTGCCACTATGCCCAGCTAATTTTTGCATTTTTAGTAGAGATGGGGTTTCACCATGTTGGCCAGGATGGTCTCAATCTCTTGACTGCATAATCCACCCACCTCAGCCTCCCAAAGTGCTGGGATTACAGGTGTGAGCCACTGCACCCAGCCAGTGCCACATAGTTTTAAAGGACCAGCTCTCCTGTGAAATCAGAGCAAGAGCTCAGGTATTACCAAAGGGATGGCCCAAGCCATTCACGAAGGATCCACCCACATGATCTAAACACCTCCTACCAGGCCCCACCTCCAACACTGGGGATTAAAATTCCTATAGCAGTGGGGCTGAAAACTAGAGGAAGAAAAATAGTGGAAGATACTATGAGGCTTGGGCTGTGCTTTGCATGGTTTCCAGCTCCTAGTTCCTCATATAAAACAACAAGGAGAGTGCTAGACAGAACTTGATCCTGGATAGTAGAGGTGTGCCATCCTTTAATTTGGTAACTGCATAAAAGACTTCCAGTGTTTTCTTGTCCTCCTCTTTAATAATTTACTTTACTACTTTTTCAGTTACAATTCCTACTGTGTGTTCTTCTACCCGAGTAATACATTTAAAAAAACATTTTCAGGTAAATTATTTTAACAGAAGAAGAAGAAAAGGACTTTCTATAAAGCAGTGAACTTCACACAATGAAATATCTCCCCCTAGTTAAAATGGCTATTACAAAAAAAAAAAAAAAAAATAGATGCTGGAGAGGATGCCGAGAGAAGGGAACTTTGTAGGAATGTAAATTAGTACAACCACTATGGAAGACAGTACGGAGATTCCTCAAAAAACTACGAATAGAACTACCATTTGATCTGGCAATCCTACCACTAGGTATTTATCCAAATGAAAAGTAAAACAGGACATCAAAGGAATACTTGCATTACTATGCTTATTGCAGCACTATTCACAATAGCCAAGATATGGCATCAACCTATGTGTCCATCAGAGGATGAATGAATAAAGAAAATGTGGTATATATACACAATAGAATACTATTCTACCATAAAAACTAATAAAATCATGTCATGTGCAGCAACAAGTGTCACTGTGTTAAATGAAATGTGCATATTCTCATTTACATGTGGGAGCTAAAAAAGTTGATCTCATGGAGCCTGAGAGTAGAAGAATAGATATCAGAGGCTAGAAAGGGTTTGTGTGTGTGAGGGAGGGAGGGAAGATGAAGAGAGGTTGATTAATAGGATACAAACATTCAGATAGAAGTAATGAGTTCTAATGTTCAATAGCAGAGGAGGGTGACTATAATTAACAACAATATATTGTATACTTCAAAATAGCTAGAAGAGAGGACTTGAAATGTTCACAACACATAGAAATGATAAATACTTGAAGTGATGGGCACCCCAAATATGCTGACTTGATTTCTACACAGTCTATGCATGTAACAAACATCACATGCACACTTAAATATATGCAAATACAATGCATCAGTAAAAAAAGCAGGGGGCTTCCTTGGAATCTGACCACAGCCTTGATGAAAAGTGTTCTTAAACACATCAATAACAAAAGAAAGGAACCAACGTTAAGTAAATGCCCACATCATCTCAGGTACCTCCTCTGTGTTTTCTCATTTAATCCTTATTAAATGGAGAATTCTTGAGGAATCACTGAGTTAGAGGTCAGAAAATAGAAATTTAAATATCAACAAATAAGTAGTGGATGAATGGCCTTGTGTATGACTCAAAAGTTCATTTCCTTTAAAGTGTTTTCTTGTACTCATGAGTATTTTTACTATTTCTTATATGTCTGAAAAATTCTTACTCCCTTAAACCCTGCTGAAAAGTCACCTGTCCTGTGACTTTTTATTTTATTTTATTTTCTATTTTTTATTTTTTTGGAGATGAGCCTCACTCTGTCACCCAGTTTGGAGTTTGGAGTGCAGTGGTGTGATCCAGGCTGCAACCTCTGCCTCCCAGGTTCAAGCAATTCTCCTGCTCAGCCTCTCAAGTAGCTGGGATTACAGGCATATGCCACCACGCCCAGCTAATTTTTGTATTTTTAGTAGAGACATGTTGGCCAGGCTGGTCTCGAACTCCTGGCCTCAGGTGATCCACCCACATCTGCCTCCGCAAGTGCTGGGATTACAGGCGTGAGCCACAGCACTCGGCTGTCCTGTGACATTCTGAGTCCTCTAAGAATATTGCCATCTTGGCACCTAGAAAAGTTATTGCCATAACCCGATCACATTTCAGTCTCTTACCAAGATTGTGAGCTCCTGAAAGGGAGGGGTGGTATCTTCTTTGTCTTTTTATGCCTAAGACCTAAGAAGTTTGGTCCATAATAAGAACACAATAAATGTTGAATGAATAATCAATCAGTCTGATTGTCTGTCTATCTAGCTAGCTAGTTATATGTATGTGTATATTCTTTCCAAGGGAGATTCTTTTGTGTTAGTAGGCTCTGATTTGAAAATTAAAATTGACTGTTAAGATACATGCACATCTTGTTAATTATATGATGGTGATGCTCCTTACCTAGCTGATATCAGCTGCTCTCGAGAAACATCTGTTTAACCCAGGGGCTTTCAGAATGCAGCAATGACTGTGCTCCACAGAAGGTAGGACCATGTGGGTTGCCTTATGGAAGACCTGGGGTGGCAGACCATAGACTTCATGGTGAAAACTACCAAATATGACTTTAGCTAACTTAAGTAAAAAAATTCATGTATTTGAAATATCTTGGTTCGCTTTAAGAATGAACAAAAGTTCTAGAGAAACAAGTTTCAGAAATGAACAGTAGTCAAGGGTAGCTAGGTGGCTGGCTAAATCATGGACTCCTATTAGGGCACCATTGCAGACTACCGGACACTTCTCAGGGAACTTTGGCCCCCACTCCCACAGCAGCCATGGTCTGGGTCTTTCAATATCCTGGAAGGGATCATCCCATTGTCCCAAACTAGGCCACGTGATCATGCCCTGCGTGCCAGGGAGTGAGGAAAGAGAATGTCTGTGAGGAAAGAGAATGTCTGCTCCTTTTATCTTCCATGACTGAAACTAGGCTTTGCATTATACTTATTTGGGGATAATCCCTAAATGGAAAGAGTATTTGCTTACTAATAACCACTGACAAATAATAGTTATACTAGATTGATTGCATTGATGACTTAAGGCCCTCCACTACCCTGGTGCTGAATTCTGGGGGGAATGTCTACTGTCTCTTACCCCTTGTTTCTATTCCTACAGTACTATTTGGCCATCCATTATTTCTGTTCTAGGAATTGGCAATGATCTGCTATTGGCTTCTTGCTCCTACCCTCAAATCATAATTCATATGTTGTCTCATTTTATTCTGTAGCTTTCTTGGTTCTCCTTTTTCACAAGTGTATTCTCATCCCCATTCCGATCCCCACTCCTGATATGACTTTAAATGTTGACTTTTGATTAATAGTCAAGAGAATTAACACATTGATTTGGAATTTTAAGCAAGATTGGAGATTGCTTACATCTTTGAAATTATATCACAAACTTTTCTAACCATTCTTCAATTTGAGTGTATATCAAAATCAGTGGTGGCGGGGGATGTGGTATGCTAAAACACACATTGCTAAGCGCTGCAAACAAAAATAGAGCTACCTTTTCTGAGGAGTTACACATTTCAAAGCAGGTAATTATTTTATTTATGAAAATGGATTAATTTCAAAAAGATTTTTATAACTTCTAATTACATTAATCTGTTTCAAATAAAACAAACTAATAAAGTATATAGAACAACAGTGTGTACATTATGATAGGTATCAAATGTGTGTGAATTCTTCCCCTTGTCCCCTACAAAACCACCCTCTCACAGGAAAGATTCAATAAACTTTTAATAATCTAAATTAAGTAGCCCATTCTAAGGAAGCATTTAGTTTCTTGTTGTCTGACAAAACTGTGACAAATAGAGAATGTGGAACTTTAAGATCTGTTATGGAAAGGAAAAAATTAACAGCAGGACTGAGACATCCAGAAGTAATGAATTCAGTCCAATCTTTATGTGAATATGGTAATGACCTAAAGACAAGGCCCCCTGGTAAACATAGTAATGGTGTTGATAGGTGGAATTATACCAGGGGGTCCTGACCTATAAATTTTTTAATGGGATATGTCTGGTTTCTCTTGATTATTTATCATAACACAAAATTGGAATTTATGTATTTGTAGGTCATGAATGGCTGAAAAATGAAGGGTCATACCATAAACTGTAACTGAGAGAATATAAAATGGACTGTTCTAATGTAGGACTGGATCTCTTTGTGTGAAGTTTCTCTATACACATTGCTTAGGAAGAAACTTGCCTGAAACAAATATTCAATTAAATGAAAAAGAAAAATAGCCTTTTGGGATCTGTGCCTCACTTTGTCAGATTCCTCCAAGAAATTCACATTTCACTTGTGCCTGTTGATTTTCTGTTTCCTTGGAATTATTAGTGCTGTTTAATATTGGGTAGGATCTATAACTCTGTGAGTCTCCTTTGACAATTCAACTTTTTGTGTTTAAAAAACTCGGATGTGGGCGCTGGGGTATGGACAGGGAATTGTGCAAACACTGATGTCAACTGAAACATTCCAGAAAAGATGCCCCCTGAGAAATCATGTGGATATATCCAGAGGAATTTTTACCTATATCCTTCAATCCCTACGGATTAATAAGGGCTAGGGGCCTTTGGGTATAGCTTTTAAATGGGTATTTAAGCCAAAAGAACAAGAATTGCAATGAAAATGCCTAGAATGAGTGAAGAAGAGATCCCAGAAAACACCAGTTATTTAATTGCCAGGGAAAAGAAGACAGTTCAGCTAGAAAATACAAAATAATGATTATTAGAGGAGAAGCAGTAGCATGTGATATCTTGGAAGCCATTCAGGAGCTTTAAGTGTGAAGGGTTAGCTACAAAGTCAAATGTCACAGCAGGTCAAGAAAGATATAATCATGATGATAATATTAATAAAAAATAGGGAGCACCTACTCCATAAATTATTGCTAATTATTGCACCTACTAATTAAGCACCTATTCCATAAATTATTGCATACCTTCCAAGCTAGTCATTATTATCACTGTTTTACAAAAGAAGAAACCGAGGCTAGGAAGGTTAACTAACTAGCCCAAGATTACACCATCTACTACTACTTGTTTGAGTGAGGATGCTGACCTAACATTCTGATTTGAAGCTCTGCTTCTGTCTTCTGGTCAGGAATAGCTGAAATGCTAGATCTACTGGGTCTGGAGAGTGGGAGGTATTTTCACCCACAGGATGGCAGTTACAGTGAAACAATGGAGGCAGGAGGCAGTGGGTCAGTGGGTGGACAGATGGAAAGGAAAGAGTAGCTATGAGGATTCCACATTCTGGAGACGCTGAGCTGTGAAAAGAAAGAGAAGGGTGGTGACTGGGGGAGGATGCAACATTAAGGGAGGGTTTTTTTTAGGTTAGAGAAGAATGGAATAAGTTTATAGATGAAGAGGAAGGAACCAACACAGAGGATTGGTGGAAGTTACAGAAGAGAAAAGGAATCAATGAAGGAAGTGACTGAAATAGGTAAGAGAGATAGGGGTAAGATAACAGGGAGAAGTTTTAGTCTTGGATGGGAGAAGCAATGCTTCCTGTCTCGAGAACGGAGGGAGGAAGGTTTTATGGAGGCAAGTGAGGGCAAGGGACTCTTGCTTGATGGCCTCAGTTTTGTTTTTTACTGAGCAGCAAACTCTGAGGAGTAGCAATGGTTTCAAGAAGTTTGGAGAAGAAGCAGTTCTAAAGCAAATAAAAGAGGTACTGGCCTAAGTGGCACTACAAAATCTGACTTTTTAATGGTATAAAAGACACACTTGTGCAGTTTTCTTCTGCAGCCTAACTTGGTAGAAACCCGAGTAAGGACAAAACATTTTCTCCACTTGCCTTTGATCCTGCCTCAATCCCTAAGATGAATTTCAGCCATTTGGAAGCATTGGGAGAAATTTTCTGCCTGTCTCTCTGTTTCTCACTTACTCTGACAGATGACATCTGCTTAGCAAAAAGCTCATCGTTATGTGCAGTCCAGACCCTCTTGATGATGTCTTTTGGGACCAGTGCCTTTGAGAGCCTTGGATGTTTTCTCTGCTGCTGCCCCTGTATGGTAACTCAGCAGGGCCTCCCGATCCCTATTATAGGAAAGGCAGCAATTTCTGGCTGCTTTGCCCATGACACGTGGATGGGTTCCTCTCAGGCTGGGAGTCAGTCCCCGATTTTGGTCACAGAGTCATTCCACACTGTCAGATCTGGACATATAAGAAATCACCCTCATCTGATCTAGTATCTAATTATTCTAATTTTAAAATTAAGGCAAAGTTACATACAGTGAAATGCACAGATCTTAGCAACAGATTTTGGAAAAGACATACACCCAAGTATCCTGCAATTCTATCCAGATATAGAACATTTCCATCCCTTCATAAAGTTCCTTCTTGCCTTCCCTCACCTCCAGAAACAATCAGTGTTCAGATTCACTCATCATGGATTAGTTTAGCCTGGTCTAGAACTTGATAGAAATGTGTCTATCAGTACAGACCCTGTTGTGTAAGGCTGCTTTCACTGTACTTGATTTTTACATTCATCTATTTTGTCATGCAAATCAATATTTTGTTCATTTTTATTGCTAAGTAGCATACTACTATATGATTATATATTTATGCATTCTATTGATGGACATTTGGGTTGTTTCATGGTGGGGTTTCATGAATAAGGCTGCTATGAATAAATGTGTACAAGTACTTTTCTGGGCATATGTTTTTATTTTCCTTGGAATTACTGGGTAGTTTATAACAAACTGTCAAATCTTTTTCCAAAACGCACCTTTTTACACTCCAACCAGCAATTATAAGAGTTCTAGTGCTTTTATATCCTTGCCAAAGTTGTTGTCAGTTATTTTAATTTTATATGCTAGTGGGTATGTATCTAGCTCTTGGTGACCAAAGTTTATCTGCCAGTAGGCTCCTTGAGAAGAGCTTTTCAGAACAATATCTATTAATTATTGCACATTCAAAACATGTTTTACTCTTTTTTCTTGAGAGGCAGTTTGAGTTGTTGGATTAGCTATAGCACTAAAATTAATGGATACGGAACCATTAATGGAAATAATGTCAAAGAAGGATGATCTGGGGTGGCAAATGGCCACAGACCTTTCAGGGAGCAACCAAGAGGAGCAGTCCTGCTGTTTGCAAGGTAGGGCTGCCATTCTTTATGGATAGCATCCTGGGATAATATGATAGGTGGATTATTAAAGTGGCTCCAAATCTCACCATCCCCTTTGTAATGTAAACTTGAAGTCTTTTCCAAAAAGAGGTGGAGATTTTTTTGACTTAGCCCCATAATGCAACAGAAGTGATCAAGTGCCGGGTTCTGAGACTAAAATTTAGAAGGCCTGGTACATTTTAGTTTGCTCTCTCAGTTCTGCCTCTGCTGTGTGAACAAGCTCAAGCTAGTTGTCATCCCATCTCTAAGAAATAGCCAGACCAAATCCCAGGCAGACCAATGAGCCATCCTTGAGAAATCTAGCCCTCTTCTTACCCACAAGCTGACCACAGACATATGATTGGCCCAAGATCAACCTACCCATAAATTTATCAGAAATAATTACATGGCTGTTGCTGTAAGCCAGGCATTAGCAAACCTCAGCCCATGGGCCAAATCTGGCCTGCTGCCTCTTTTTGTAAAGGAAGTTTTATAGAAACACAGCTATCTTCACCTGAACCTGCTGCTATAACAAAATACCATAGACTGGGTGGCTTAAACAACAGACATTTACATTTCACAGTTTTGAAGGCTGGAAAGTCCAAGGCACCAGCAGATCTCATGTCTGGTGAGAGCTGTTTTGTTTTCTTCAGAGATGGTGCCTTATTGCTGCATCCTGACATGGTAGAAGAGGTGAATGCTGTATCTTCACATGGTGGAAGGGATGGAAGAGATGGAAAGGATGAACTTGGTCCCTCAAGCCCTTTTATAAGGCATTAATACTATTGTACATATATTTGGGATACATGTGATATTTTGATACTGATATACAATATGTAATGATCAAATCAGCTTAATGGGATATCCATCACCTCAAACATTTCTCTTTGTGTTTGGAACACTGAAATTCTTCTCTTCTAGCTATTTTGAAATATACAATAGATTATTATTAACTACAATTTCCCAACTGTATGATCAAATACTAGAACTCATTTCTTTTATTTAACTGTATTTTTGTACCCGTTACCCACCTCTTAACACTATTGCACTGGGGACTAAGTTTCAACATGAATGTTGAACTTCATACCATAACATTCATACAAACATTCATACCATAGCAAAAGATAAACTCATTTGTTTGCATATTGACTATGGCTTCTCTCATGCTATAATGGCAGCGTTAACTGTAACTATAGTTGAGACAAGTAGTTGCAATTGAGACCGACCTGTGAAGCCTGAAATATTTACTTTCTAGCACTCACAGAAAAGTTTTTTGACCCCTTGTTAAGTCACTGAGCTTTTGGGTGGTTTGTTACCCAGCAATAGCTAACTGATACACATGGTAATTGTCAGATAAATACAGAGAGGACTTTGAATAGTTTCCACTAAAATAGAATTCATTTGTTTGTTCCTTTATTATATAGACATTGATGGTCTAAAGTTTTGCCATACACAACACAGATATAGCTCTTACCTGACTGAGCTTACTGTTCAGTAGGGAAACAAATTTAAAAAGCAATCAGGGTATAATTAAATAGGTGGATGAAGTCACAGGGAGACTAGGTGACTTAGCCATTCATGGACATGGTAGCAGCAGCAGCTGGTATGGATGAGGGGATGTTGTAGGCATTGAGGAGCATAGTTTTTGTGAAGGTAGAATGGACAAGTCTAAGGCAAGTCTAAGCCATTATCTTGGTTCGGGAAAGTGTGTAGAAATCTCTCTCAGGGAGTACATTAAGGAGATGAAAGTGTCTGTATCCTTATGTGGTGGTAGTTACACAATCTATACAGTATTAAAACTCATAGAAGTATACACCAGGAAGAGAGCCAATTTTACTGTATGTTAATTTAAAAAATCTATGCCAAGTATAGGCAATAAAATACTTCAAAATTTGATGAGAAAGTGAAGCTCATTATTATTTTAGAGGTAAAGTAGTTATAACCTTACTTTCCCTGATTAACTTATTAATTTCTAGGGGGATCTACAGCAAATTCAGAATTTAGTGCAAAGCTATCAGAGCTCCAAAAAAATCATTGATATCGAGTCCACTGAGAGAAAGCAAAAAGTTTCATGAAACCTTGAAGTGTTCTATGTACCTATATGTGGACCACACATGAGCTGTATGTGGTTATAAAAATACCCCAGCTATCCCAGCTTCTCAGCTCCATGACAGACATTGTTCTCACTTCTAATTCTGGAGCACCACCACTGTCTTTGGCCACACCTACATACACACATTTTCAGAAGGTAATTTATTCTGTCCAAGCCGACAACTTGAGGTTCCACAATCTCTGCTGCTCTCACACTCCCTTGAACAAAGACACAATTATTCACATTTGATAAAGTCTTCACTTATGCCTCCTGATCCACTTCTGGGCAGTATTTTTTAACAAGTTTTATGTTTTCAGCATACAAAAAGACATTTATTTCCTTAGGATCTTTTCCTATAAGCAAGCTATGCTACTCCCAGGTACCAGTGAGTGCTTCAACTGGCAGTGTTTTGGAATTTAAACCAGAGGTGTCTAAGGGGTTGTGAGGTTGCTAAAAACAATCCACTGGGTGCCAGAAGAAAATATAGGAAACAAAAATATTTCATATGCCCACTTGCACTGGTTCCTTCTCTTGGTTTAGATGTCATATACCCAAAGGAAGGTCAGGTGTCACACATGTACCCAAAGTACCCCAAGGAAAAAGAGTGAAATGCTACATTGCTGAGGAATTGGCAATAGCGCCCCTGCTGGACTTCCATGTGTCAAGACAGATTTGAGCTTACAGGTGCTAGTTTAAGTGATTTATAGATGATCTTGTTGTAACAAAATAAAACCATGTAAAATGGACAAGTGGCTTATAGAGTTTCCCTTCAGAGAAAATTGGATTGAAGGCAATGCTAGTAAAGCAAACAGAAGCCATCAACAAGGACCTGGCATTTCTCCTATTCTTAATGAAGGACTGTTCTCCAAAAGACAGGCTCCTCCCAGGGAGTGTGTGTTCATGAACAGGGCTGGGGGCTGATGCTGTCAGATAAAAGGCTTTCTTTGTTTACAACATGAGGACCATGTGGAAAAGTGAATGCCAAAGTTGCCAGAAGGGAATGCTGCAGTTCTCAGAAAAAGTAAGGGATATTAGGCAAACAAACAATAGCTGTTCCTAATGAAATTCTCTTAGATTGGCACAGTTTAAATGTTCAAATCACTTTGGTATCAGATCGGTTTGGATCTTTTGTTATCCTGGAATCACTTGAAAGCTTGTGTGCATTTACTGTTTTGCTATTTGTGCTAATTTTTATGTTTTATTTCTCCTCATATTAACTTCTTGAAAGCAGAAGTGTATTGTATAGCAGTGTTTCTCAAACTGAGATCACACAAATCACAAAGGGATCCTGATAAAATGCAGATTCCTATTCAACAGATCGGGGGGTGGCACCTGAGAATCTGCATTTCTGACAACCTATCAGGTGATGCCAATGCTGCTGGTCCATGGGCCACACTTTGAGTAACACTGGTCTAACTCTAGGTAGATCAATTTATCAGGGTAGGAGTATAACACAGCTGTTTATTATGGATTCTTAATTATGGGAATTATTCTGTGACTGCCTTCTATAAAGAAATTCTCTGTTGGATGGAGCTTCTTCACCCTTTTTTCTTCCTTAAAGACGTCAGGAAAAATCAGAGAGAAGAATATAGCAAAACAACCCTTTCCTCCCTACCAATCACAAAGTGGCTGCTAGCTTATTTGAAATGTAAATATAATGACTCTCATCAATGGCACTATGTTACTGAATTATCCTCAGCAAACTGAATCACAAGCATAAGAAGGCTTTTTCAGAAAAGTGCTGTTGAAGGCATTTCAGGACACCTTACCTGCTTTTCTTGACACAGCTAAAATCTTCCCCAACCCCATAGTCCCTGCTCATACCTGTAACACTCATTTGCCCTACTGATTCAGAGATAAAATTCTCTACTGAATTTCACTGTCATTTACATATTTTCTTTGCTCGACTTGTCTTTCCTAGAAAATATCAAACTCTTGGAAGGTCAGGGATAGTAATAACAAAAACAATTACATCGATTAACACTAATCCTTAACATTAATCATTTACGATGTGTCAGGCACTGTACAGACTTTGTATACATTATTTCATGCAGTATTCTCAATAACTCTCTTATTCCTACTTTACAGATAAGAAAACTAGGCTCGAAAAGAATAACTAACTTACCTGAGGTATGGGAGAGACTACAATTTGCTACCCAATACCTATTCTCCATTTCTTCTCTTGCAATAGAGACTGAATTCCATGTGGAGTACCAATGCAGTTAGCTAAAAGCCTCTCTTGGCCAGGCATGATGGCTCATGCCTGTAATCTCAAAACTTTGGGAGGCTGAGGTGGGAGGATCACTTAAGCCCAAGAGTTTGAAACTAGCCTGGGTGACATAGTGAGACCCCAACTCTACAAACATTTTTGAAAAATAAAAATAACAGCCTCTTTTGAAGGTAGGTATGGCCAGGATACTAGCACGTAGCCAAGGAGATGTAAACAGAAAGGTGGCATAGAACTTGACGATGGAAAATGAGAGCTCAGACTTCAAGTAAATAAGCAACTTATAAGATAAGAACTTGTCAACCTTCTGACTCTCTTCTTTTGTCAGACCTTCCATGATCATTTGATGTTTTTAAACTTTGGCAGCCATCTTTAACCAAAAGGTTACCTTGGGGATGAAGGCCATACACTAACATGGTGGGGCCAAAAAATAGGAAGAGCCTGGGTTCCTGGTGACCTTGAAGCTGCATTTCCAATTCAGGACTAGTAGCTCCAGACTGCTATTACATGAGAAAGAAAGAAATATGTAAGTGCTATTTGAGCCATTTTAGATTACCCCTCACTCTGGGCCTGGACTTACCTAACTGAAGTGTGTCTCACAGTTAACAAGAGATGTGGCTTAGATTCAGCCATAGGCCATTTCATACTGTTTTCCTACCCTCAGTGCCCAGCTGAAAACAGCACGTTGTATGCTCTGCTTAGTTTGGCCACAATAATTAACTCTTTACTAAGAAGAAAAAAAAAAGTCCCTTCCCAGGATTTGCTTTCATGGTCTGCTTCAGTAGCACAAGTCAGGAATGCACCAGCATCCCTCTAAACAATTAGAAAATGGGATAAAGATATTTCTAGAATGGTGTAGATACTTTTCAAGATGTTTCTTTTATTAATTGCTATTCTTGCACTCCACATTTTTCTCATTTGCAATCCATACATCTGATATTGCCATTATCATTTGTGCATTCATTTGGCACCTATTTATTAAGCACTTATTACATGCTAGGAAACAACCTCGGGATGGAAGAGTGAACAAAGCAGACAATATCCCTGGTTTATGGCATTTATATTCTTATGGTGGGGGAGAAGAGGACAAACAATAAACAATAAAATAACAGGTCAGGTAGAGATATGTTTTATGGAGAAATTAAAATGAACAAGGGGGATCATGTTGGCAGGTGTGTTAATCAGGATTCCCTTGAGGGACAGAACTAACACCTGTAATCCTAGCACTATGGGAGGCTGAGGCAGGTGGATTGCCTGAGCTCTGGAGTTCGAGACCAGCCTGGGCAACACGGTGAAACCCTGTCTCTACTAAAATACAAAAATTTAGCTGGGTATAGTGGCATGTGCCTGTAATCCCAGCTACTTGGGAGGCTGAGGCAGGAGAATCACTTGAACCTGGGAGGTGGAGGTTGCAGTGAACTGAGATCGCACCATTGCACTCCAGCCTGGGTGACAGAGTGAGACTCCATCTCAAAAAAAAAAAAAAGGAGATATATATATATATATATATATATATATATATATATATATATATATGAGAGTTTATTAAATATTAACTTACACAATCACAAAGTCCCACAATAGACTGTCTGCAAGCTTGAGGAACAAGGAAAGCCTGTCTCAAAACTGAAGAACTTAGAGTCCGATGTTCCAGGGCAGGGAGCATCCAACATGGGAGAAAGATGCAGGCTGGGAGGCTAAGCCAGTGTCACCTTTCACATTTTTCTGCCTGCTTTACATTTGCTAGCAACTGATTAGATTGTGCCCACCAGATTGAGGGTGGGCCTGCCTGTCCCAGTCCACTGACTCAAATGTTAATCTCCTTTGGCAACACCCTCACAGACACACCCAGGATCAGTACTTTGCATCCTTCAATCCAATCAAGTTGACACTCAGTGTTAACCATCACAGCAGGAATGGGATACTTACCTGAAAAAGGCAAGAATGCAAATCATGGAAATTTAGTTTCCCAGCTTAGACTGTCAATGTATGCTTTTATTCTGGGAATGGATGCACAAAACCTGGTGATAGAAGATTGATACATTTCAGAAAATGTTCTACGTGACACTTGACAACTTTAAGAATTTTTTATGTACTTGTCTGAGCATCTGATGTTGAACAGCTCCAATTGGACAATAACTGGTTTGTTTTTCTTCTCTTTTCCTTCCGCTTGGCTTCCATGTCATTCCAGCAGAAGCCCAATTGCTTCTTTGCTCAAATAGGATTGTACCTTTTTATACCAACTTGGAGAAGAGAATGTGAATAAGTGAGTAACTGAGTATGTGTGTGAGCTTGGGTGCATACCCCAGATATACAAGTGCATTTAAGAAGAGCTGGAATAGACAAGATAATCCTGATATTTATTTAGTCAAAAATGAAAATTTCTAAATACTGAATTCTAATTCTTCTCAGTCCTTTGAAAATGCAAACTTCCTCCCCACATCATGTGGTCTGAAAAATAAGTGGAGGTGGAAAGAGAAGTAGGAGGAGATTTGAAAGCAGTAGAAGGAAAGATAATGAGGCGGCTGCTAAAATTTTTGCACAAGGACATGAAGACTTCCCTTAATGTTTAAAAACGTGATCTTGCAGCCTTTTCCATTTTGACTTCATTTTCCTCATCTACTGAATTAACGAGAATCTGGATGATCTGTAGGTCAAGCATTTGCTGGAAATAAGAAGGCCAGAGCTAATAGCCATTGGCTTTGCCTAGGACCATAATCCATCTGCCCAGCACAGACATCAGCTTTCCTGTCATTATCACAGGAAGCCCCTCAGAACCCTAAAGCGACTGGCACTTTTTTTCTCATCGGAATTAAAGTTAGCAGCTTCTCATCTTCAATGTGGAAATGTACATAATCCTATGACAGTATACTATTGTCTCTAAAGAGAGCTACAAATTTAATTTTGAGTTTGTGTTATATAAATCATGCAATTCCATTAGTATGTCTTCGTGCTGTGATCTAAATTCACAAAATCTGATCCCATCCTAAGATGCTGATATTCTGCTATTCTCTGCTAATGATACAATCAGAAACAAATATTTTGTTCGTCTTTGTATTTCATTTTGGTCAGAATTGCCTAGAAGCAGAGCCTGAGACAGAGATTCAAGACTAGGTGACTGAGGAAGAGTTCTCAGGAGGAAAGGAGTAGAGGAACAGGTCAGAACGTGAGAAAAAACTTAAGCAAGGACACATTCTCAACTGGCCTCCGGCCTCAGCCTCATCCCACGGGGAGTTCTGCAGTGTGAGTTGTACCCTTCTCTCCTGATCTCTCATACCCATGTCTATCAGTCATTGCTTGCTGGATATCCCCTTCCACCTGAAGGGAGGGTTATAACCTACTGTAGAGGGCAGCTCCCATTGGCCAAGGGCAATTCCGTGCAGAACAGGGCAGTTATGCATCATTGGCAACCAGTGTTTATAGAACTTGAGATATGGGTACTCTGGCAGATGGGTGCACCAGCCTGACAGTGAAGATCCAAAAGCATCCCCCCTTCTCTTTTCCATCCTGGAAAACTTCCTGATTGCTTCATCTTGCATTGTTCTTTATTTTTTTATTTTTAATTTTTGGAAGTACATAGTAAGTGTGTATATTTGTGAGTCACATGAGAGATTTTGATACAGGCATGTGATGCCTAATAATCATTTTAGGGTAAATGGAGTATCCATCACCTCAAGCATTTATCATTCATGCTACAAACAATCTAATTATAATTTTATTTATTTAAAAATGTACAATTACATTATTTTTACTTAGTCAATCTGCTGTGCTAGCAAATAAAAGTCTTCTTCATTCTTTCTAACTATTTTTTTGTACCGATTAATCATCCCCACTTCCCCCAGGACCCCCATCCGCACTACCCTTCCAGTCTCTAGTAACCATCCTTCTATCTCTATCTCCACGAGTTCAGTTATTTTAATTTTTATCTCCCACAAATAAGTGAGAACGCCTTGCAGTATTCTTAAATAATTACTTCCTTCTTCTCCTTCAGAAAAGCTCCTTCTCAAGCTCTTCTTCGTTCCACTCCTGAAAGACATGAGTGATTGTATAAGTCTTTTAATAATTGACCCAACCTGTGAATGAGTAATGGCTTATCAAGAAAGAATAGACATTTAAATTTTGTGATCAAGGCACAATAATATAAAGTTTGTGCCCTGAGCCCTGTCACATTTGTTGTTGTACAAATGACTACCAGGATTTTTTAGTCTACTTTTTTTTTTTTTTTTTTGCTACTATTGGCTATTCTATAAATAGCTTGGGGCATTCTGTAAATAGCTTTGTCTTTCTATTTCTAGCATCCAACATGGTTTCTTGCATGGGACAGACATTCAATAAATGCTCATGAATAACTGAATGAATTAAAGAATAATGGGGTGGCTGTTGAGATATGAATGTTTACTGTAAGACTGTGAAGATTCAAAAGATTAAAAGTGTATAAGGGCCAGGCAGGTCATGTCAACAAGTAAAAGTGATTGTGGCCAACTGGAGAGCAACATACAATAGCCTATGAGGGCCAAAACCTTCAGCTTTCCCAGATCATGAAAACTGTTTGAGAATGCTGACATTGATATTTTGATACTTTATCCTAAAAATAAAATCTAGAGATACAAAATTGTATCTGAAACTTCCTTATTTTTAGATGTTGACAGATAGCCTAACTAACAACAACTAACATTATAGGAGCCAATCCATACTTGTATTAATTGAATTTCACTTGGGAAATTTTTGGTTTGTTTCCACTGCCATGGAATATTTCCTGGTTGGTAATTATCATTTGTTTCACTTTCAGTGAACAACTAAAAAACTGAGAGAACAAAAGAGCAAAAGTCTTCTATCATCTTCTTCCAAAACCTACTATTCAAAAGTAGCTCAATCAAGAGCATCTTTCGATTTTCTCTATAAGATTCTGCTTTGAGTCTTTTCCTGTCTTATGGCAGCTTTTTATTCCACCTTCTTTATTCCTGTATATACTTTGGAGGTTATTATTCTCAATTCCTCAATTCCTCAATTCCTTGGCCTCCTTTGTCTTCTTACTCAGCTCATGGAGTTCTTATTCCCCCTTCCATAAACCTTGAGGAGGTCCATGGCTGTGCTTCAAAATGGATCTGTGAACACCTGGGAATTCCTTTGCAAGATGGTATGTATGTGCTTATGTGCATTTTTATGTGGAGAAAATGGCGATTTCTATCACATTCTAAAAGGAGTACCCCATGTCCATTCACTTTTTTTTTCTTTTTTTGAATTTTTATTTTAGAATCAGGGAGGATATGTGCAGGTTTGTTACAACGGTATATTGTGTGATACTGAGGTTTGCAGTATGAAGGAATCCATCACCCAGGTAGTGAGTATAATACAAAATAAGTAATTTTTCAGCCTTTTCTCTTCTCCCCCACCAGTAGTCCCTGCTATCTATTGTTCCCATCTTTATGTCCTTGTGTACTCAATGTTTAGATCCCACTTATAAGTGAGAACATGTGGTATTTGGTTTTCTTTTTCTGCATTAGTTTCCTTAGGATAATGGTTTGCAGCTGCATCCATGTTGCCACGAAGGACATGATTTTGTTCTCTTTTATGGCTGCCTAGTATTCCATGGTGTATATGTAACACATTTTCTTTATCTAATCCACCATTAATAGGCACCTGAGTGGATTCCATGCCTTTGCTATTATGAATAGTGCTGCAGTGAACACACATGCTTGTATCTTTTTGGTAGAATAATTCATTTTCCTTTGGATATAGCTAGTAATGGGATTGCTGAGTTGAAGGATACCTCAACTCTTAGTTGAGAAATCTCCAAACTGCTCTCCACAGTGGCTGGACTAATTTACATTCCTGCCACAGTGTATAAGTTTTTCCTTTCCTCTGCAGCCTCAGCAACATCTTTTATTTTTTGACTTTTTAACAAAGCCGTTCTGATGGGTGTGAGATAGTATTTCATTGTGGTTTTGATTTGCATTTATGTGATGATTAGTGATGACGAGCATTTTTTCATGTTTGTTAGCTACATGTATGTCTTCTTTTGAGAAGTTTCTGCCCATGTCCTTTGCCCACTTTTCTATGGAGTTGTTTTTTTTTTTTTTTTGGTTTTTGGTTTTTGGTTTTTTTTTTTTTTTTTTGCTTGTTGATTTGCTGAAGTTCCTTATAGATTCTGGATATTAGACCTTTGTCAGATGTGTGGTTTGTGAATATTTTCTCCCACTCTGTGTGTTGTCTGTTACTCCCTTGATGGTTTCTCATGCTGTGCAGAAGCTCTTTAATTATGTCCCATTTGTCAACTTTTAGTTTTGTTGCAAGTGCTTTTGAGGATGTAGCCATAAATTATTTGCCAAGGCTGACATTGAGAAGGGTATTTCCTAGGTTTCCTTCTAGGATTTTTATAGTTTGAGGTCTTACAGTTAAGTCTTCAATCCATCTTGAGTTAATTTTTGTATATGGTGATAGGTCGGAGTCCAGTTTCATTCTTCTGCCAGTTATCCCAGCACCATCTATTGAATAGACAGTCTTTTCCCCATTGCTTATTTTTGTCAACTTTGTTGAAGACCAGATGGCTGTAGGTATGTGGCTTTATTCCTGGGTTATCTGTTCTATTGGTCTATGTGTCTGTTTTTGAACCAATGCCATGCTGTCTGTTCACTTTTGAAGCTTCATGTACACTTGCCTGGACCTTATAGCTGGTCATAACATGGTTTCTTCCCCTTAGTTTAGAAAATATTTCAGTGGATCCCCAATGCCTCCATTCTTAGATTTTGATAATCTAAGAATGCAAATTCTTTAGATTAGCATTCAGGATCCATTACCATCACTTACAATCCTTGTGCCCTATGTTCTGTCAATAGCAAACTATTCACAATCTCAAGTTCCCTCGTGCTTCTGTTTGTAAGTATGTCCCCAGCACCTCCCAACCTCTCATCCACCTGCGTAAGTGTAGCTAATAAGTGCCCTTGGGTTGGGTTTCCCAGAAGTTGACCCTAAGACAAGAACTTGAGTGTGAGTTTTTAATGTGGAAGTTAATGCCAGGAAGCACTAGTAGGGAAGAGGGAAGTGAGACAGAGAATGGAAAGAATCTGATAAAGTGTGTGTTATCAAACCAGTTACCACCGTGGGCAAGAGGAGAAACTCTGTCCTGCAGAGGAACTCTAAAGGACAGTGTAGAACAACTTCAGAGCTGTCTCAACTGCAAAGTCAGAAAGCTGGGATATTTATCCATCAACTCCTGGAAGTCACTGGTTGAGGACTTCTTTGGGGAAACTAAGGCAGTAATTGGGTGTGTTCCAAAGCCAGGAAGAAGCCGTCAGGTGGTGAATGTTTGATGTTCCGGGTAAATTGTCTGTAGCATAGAAGTTGAGTGTTGAGGGAATATGGGACGATCAGTTACATGGGTGAGGAGTGTCACTCTACTGCAGCAAGTTGATCACTTGCCTTCTCCAAGCCTAAGCTATATCTTTTATATCCTAATTTTCAGCTCTTACTCATTGTCTAGCAGAGCGAATGTTTACCCATGATCAGTGAATAAATGAAGTGTATTTCCCAGGCTTATTCAAGCTCTTTATTTGAAAAATATGAGCATGCGGAACAATTTCAAGTTGACCTGGACATTTGAACTCTACCTGCAAGCACAGATCTGGAACATCACTGCCTTTGACTGGGGCATTGGAGTAAAGTCGTTATCCCTGCCTATTGCCCAGAAAATAATCTGTGTCCTTCCACATAGCATGTACTTTTTCAGCAAACTCAAAGCAAGCTAACTTTGTGGCCAGACTCACTACAATTGATCAGTTTTATTAAAGCCACGCGTAAGAGGCAGCCTTTTAATCCTCAAAGTAATTCCCAGTGTGAGCCTTTCAAGGCTAATCACCCTAGTGATTGAACAGGGTGAGAAGAATGAACCACTTTCTGACCTTTTAGTGAAGTCAAGTGCAGGATAATGCATGGATCATTTTCTTGATGATTTTATCTTGACACAACTGAATTTTTCTTAGGAAAGATTACAGCCAGACTTTTGGTGTTAAAAGTCTAAAGAAATACTTTTAGATTCACGAGTGGAAGTTCCTACATGTTTTTCTAGAAGATGTTAGGAGTCACAAGCTCAAAGACATTAAAGAAGAAAGGTCATTTTAATTATTCTACAAATATAGCTGTACTTTTTATTTCCACTTATTACTTTTTTCTCTAGAAATGGCTTTTTATGCTAATACTCCTATTTCGCTAGCATTGTGAGCGAGTGCTCCACCTGTCGGCCACTGCTGACATTACACCATAATTAAGCCGTATTTTGTTTTCTTTCAATGCGGCCTCCTGCTGGAACATGCTTTAGAGCAGTAGTTATTAAACCCAGAATCACCTGGACAACTAACAAAGAACACGACCAGGTTTCCTGAAGTACGACGGGGCCTGAGCTTTTGTATTTTTACTAAGTTCTGACCTTCACTGAAGTTGGAGGATCACTGCTGTTGATCATGCACACCAGATTTTCTCACTTTGAGCAATTGTTTCATGCAGAACACTAATGACAAATAATTTTAAATGTATATCACTCAAAAAGTTAATAAAAACAATAAAAGAAAATGGAAAGCATGTATTACAAAAACAAATTAATACTATTTTAGTATTAATCTAATTAGGAAACATTTCATTGTGTTTCAATGCTGAAGAAGCACTAAATAAATGCTCATGGAACTTGCAGGTTAGTCTCACAATAGGTGTTTACCAAATACTGATCTAGAATGTCACAACCTTCCTTTATTTAGTCTTCACTGCCAAGTTTTACCTTTAAATCAAGTTCCTCTACACTCTATAGTCCAAATTTCCCTTCCAGCCCAAGCTCCATTTTCTGATCATTTAAGTTATCTTTATTTAAAAGGCATTTATGTATTTCTATAATTCTGTACATAATTTACTATTGCTTGATCTAAATAATTAAATTTAAGCCAGTCAAGTCATATTATAAAGGAGACTGCAACTCAAAAGATGATTTGCATCTAAAGCAAAATTTTATTTTTATTTTTTTTTATAATCTTAACTTTTAGATTCAGGAGGTACATGCACAGGTTTGTTATCTGGGTATACTGCATGATGCTGAGGTTTGGGGTGCGATTGATCCCATAACCCAGGTACTGAGCATAGTACCCAGTTAGATTTTATTTATTTATTTTAATTTTTTTAAAGTTTTATATTTTTTTTCCATAACTTATTTGGGTACAGGTGGTATTTGGTTACATGAGTAAGTCATTTAGTGGTGATTTGTGAGATTTTTGTGCTCCCATCACCCAAGCAGTATACATTGCACCATATTTGTACTCTTTTATCCCTTTCCCCCATCCACTTCTCCCCCCAAGTCTCCAAAGTCCATTGTATCATCCTTATGCCTTTATAGCAAAATTGTAAACATTAAGTTTGAACCTCAAAATTAATTTTCTCAGCTCAAATATGAACAATTTCAGGTCAGCGTACATTTAAAAATTCTGCAAAAATAGTAAAGCTTACCACTTCAAACCAACTACTGTGGTTAAAATGAAAAAGAAAGTCAAACCAACAGAGTAACCACACCAAATGTTTGTGAGAATATATAGAGCTACTAGAATTCTCATACATTGCTGTTTTGGGATATAAACTGGTACAATCAATTTCAAAAAAAGAAAAGTATTTTGTAAAGTTAAAACATTTACAACCTGATGCTCCTGGAAGAAAATGTATCTAAGAGAAATGAAAACATGTGTCGACAAAAAGACCTGTGCAAGAGTTTTCATAGCAGCTTTATTGATAACAGTCAATCTGTTATAACAGCCAGAATCTGTTATAACCTAAATGCCCATCAACAGGAAAATGGATAAATTATGTTACATTCACATAATAAAATACTACTCAGCAATACAAAAGGATGAACTACTGAGACACACAACGTGGTGAATCTCACAATCATTATGCTGAGCAAAGAAAGATAGACACAAACAGGTACTTAATGTATGATTTCATTTCTATGAAGTTCAAGAACAGGCAAAATTAATACATGGTG